>NC_000003.12:197782560-197933560 GCF_000001405.40 Homo sapiens | reverse complement strand
CTTTATACTTTCTGAATTTTTGAAATACTTCATAATTTTGAAAAAGTTAAATCATTTAAAAAAATTTTTTTAAAGACCTAATCAAACTTTTGCGGTTTTTTTGTTTTTTGTGTTTTTTTGAGACAAGAGTCTGGCTGTGTTGCCCAGGCTGGAGTGCAGTGGCACAATCTCAGCTCACTGTAACCTCTGCCTTCTGGATTCAAGCAATTCTCCTGCCTCAGCCTCCCGAGTAGCTGGGATTACAGGTGGGCACCACCACACCTGGCTAATTTTTGTATTTTTAGTAGAGACGAGGTTTCACTATGTTGACCTCAAGTGATCCACCCACCTTGGCCTCCCAAAGTGCTGGGATTACAGGCGTGAGCCACTGCACCTGGCCTGGGTCTTAACTTGTGTGACTTCTGTAGCCCTTTGTGAATGTAGGGAAATGCGTATGTATAATATATGTATTTTATATATATATATGTATAATATATGTATTTTATATATATATGTATAATATATGTATTTTATATATATGTATAATATATAATATTTTATATTAATATATATTATACATATATAATATGTAATATATAATACAATATAATATAATATATAATAATATATAATATATATTATACATATATATAATACATAATATGCATATAATACATATATAATACATATATTATACATATATAATATATATTATACATATATAATGTATATTATATATAATACATATATAAATACATATATATATAATACATATATATATTTTTTGAGACCAGGTCTTGCTGTGTAGTCCCAGCTGATCTCAAACTCCTGGGCTCAAGCAATTCTTCCACCTCAGCCTCCCAAGTAGCTGGAATTAGGGCACATGCCACTGCACCTGGCCTGAAAATATTATTTATTTATTTATTTATTTATTTATTTATTTATTTATTGAGACGGAGTCTCACTCTGTTGCCAGACTGGAGTGCATTGGTGATCTCTGCTCACCGCAACCTCCACCTCCCGGGTTCCAGCAATTCTCCTGCCTCAGCCTTCCGAGTAGCTGGGATTACAGACACCTGCCACCGCGCCTGGCTAATTTTTTTGTATTTTTAGTAGGGATGGGGTTTTACCATGTTGGCCAGGATGGTCTTGATCTCCTGACCTCGTGATCCGCCTGCCTCAGCCTCCCAAAGTGCTGGGATTACAGGGGTGAGCCACCATGCCCGGCTGAAAATAGAATTTATTAACTCATTTTTTGTTGGTCTGTTTCTCCTTACAGGCAGTTTTTCAGCGATGTGATTGCAGATACCATTAAGGAGTTGCAAGATTCGGCCACTTACAACAGTCTCCTGCAAGCTTTGAGCAAAGAGAGGGAAAACAAAATGCATTTCTATGACATCATTGCCAGGTCAGAGTCATGTTAGGTTTACTTGCTTTGCTGTATTTTAAAGTGCTAAAACACTCTTACTGGAAATCCTTGAATTTTAAAGCAAACCAACCGTGTGCTTTCCAGGGAAGATAACTAGAAGTCAGAATTTGGGTTTTCTTCCTAGTTCTGCTGGGACAATAAGTCAGATTTCTAGGACTTCATTATCTGTATTTACAATATATCAAGACCATTCTTCCTTCTCTAGTAACCTTTCTTAAGATTGAATTCGGCCGGGCGCGGTGGCTCACGCTTGTAATCCCAGCACTTTGGGAGGCTGAGGCGGGCGGATCACGAGGTCAGGAGATCAAGACCATCCTGGCTAACACGGTGAAACCCCATCTCTACTAAAAAATACAAAAAATTAGCCGGGCGTGGTGGCGGGCGCCTGTAGTCCCAGCTACTTGGGAGGCCAAGGCAGGAGAATGGCCTGAACCCGGGAGGCAGAGCTTGTAGTGAGGCAGAGCTTGTAGTGAGCCGAGATCGCACCACTGCACTCCAGCCTGGGCGACAGAGCAAGACTCCATCTCAAAAAAAAAAATAGATTTAATTCATTGAAAATCACTGAACAATAACAAATGAATGCCAAGGAAAGTTTTTCTTTTCCAGAACCTTTCAATTTATGAATTCTGTCTAGAACTCTTTTTTTGTTTGTTTGTTTGTTTTGTTTTTTTGAGATGGAGTCTTGCTCTGTCACCCAGGTTGCAGTACAGTGGCACGATCTCAGTTCACTGCAACTTCCGCTTCCCAGGTTCAAGCGATTCCCCTGCCTCAGCCTCCGAAGTAGCTGGGATTACAGGCGCCTGCCACCACGCCTGGCTAATGTTTGTATTTTTAGTAGAGATGGGGTTTCACCATGTTGGCCAGGCTGGTCTCAATCTCCTGACTGCAAGTGGTCCACCCATCTCAGCCTCCCAAAGTGCTGGGATTACAGGCATGAGCCACCGCGCTCGGCCTGGAACTCTCTTTGGATGTTGATCCTGTAATGATTGATCCTGCATTTTTCTTGTCCTTTTTTGCTCATTTACCATCTGCATTGTTTTTATTCTATTCTTAGAGAGATTTCCTTAACTTTGTCTTCCAACTCTTTCTTTCTTTTCTTTTCTTTTTTTTTTCTTTTTTTGAGATGGAGTCTCGCTCTGTCACCAGACTGGAGTGCAGTGGCACAATCTTGGCTCACTGCAACCTCCGCCTCCCGGGTTCAAGTGATTCTCCTGCCTCCACCTCCCTAGTAGCTGGGATTACAGGCACCCACCACTGCGCCTGGCTAATTTTTGTATTTTTAGTAGAGACAGTGTTTCACCACGTTGGCCAGGATGGTCTTGATCTCTTGACCTCGTAATCCGCCCACCTCGGCCTCCCAAAGTGCTGGGAACACAGGCTCTTCCTTTTCTTTTCTTTCTTTTTTTTTTTTTTTTTCTGAGACTGAGTCTCGCTCTGCCTCCCGGGCCAAAGTGCAGTGGCACGATCCACAGCTCACTGCAGCCTCATCCTGGGTCCCAGGCTCAAGTGAGTAGCCTCCCGAGTAGCTGGGACCACAGGTGTGTGCCACCATGCCTGGCTAATTGTTTTATTTTTGTAAAGTCAGAGTCTCACCATGTTAACCAGGCTGGTCTCAAAATCGTGGGCTCAAACAACCCACCCGCCTCGGCCTCCCAAAGTGCTGGGATCATGCCTGTAATCAAAGTGCTAGGATCACGCCTGTAACCCCAACCACAACTGGCCTTATCTTCTAACCCTTGTGTTTAATTTTTCAAAATGTTATGCTAACATTGATTTCTAAGAGCTCTTCCCTGAGTTTTTCATTTTTTATAGTATTCTTTTTTGTCACTCAGGCTAGAGTGCAGTGGCATGATCTTGGCTCATGGCAGCCTCGACTTCCTGGGCTCAAGCAATCCTCCTGCCTCAGCCCCCTCAAGTCGCTGGGGACCCAGGCATGCCCAGCTAATTTTATGTATTTTTTTGTAGAGATGGGGTTTTGCCATGTTGCCCAGGCTGGTCTCGAACTCCTGAGCTCAAGTGATCTGCCCGTCTTGGCCTCCCAAAGTGCTAGGATTACAGGTTTGAACCACCGTGCCTGGCCTTCTCATATATTTCTAAGAACATTAATTATAGTTGTCTTTTTTTGTTTAAGTTGTCTTCTGTTTCTTGTATTGTCTTTCTTCTCTCCGAGTTACTTTTTCTCCCATTTGTTTTAGTTTCTGTTTTGTTTTGTTTTGTTTTTGAGACAGAGTTTCACTCTTGTTGCCCATGCTAGAGTTCATCCGCCTGCCTCGCCTGCCTCGGCCTCCCAAAGTGCTGGGGTTATAGGCATGAGCCACCATGCCCAGCCTTCTGTTTTTCTGTTTTGTTTTGTTTTGTTTTTTAATTTACATCTAAATTTTTTAGAGCAAATGTTACTCTGTCACCCAGGCTGGAGTGCAGTGGCATGATCATAGCCCACTGCAGCCTCGAACTCCTGAGCTCATGCTATCCTTCTGCCTCAGCCTCCTGAGTAGCTGGAAGACATTTGCCACTATGCCCAGCTAATTTTTTTTGTTTGTTTTTTTAGAGATGAAGTCTCACTATGTTGCCCAGGCCAGTCTCCAACTCCTGGCCTCAAGTGATCCTTCCACCTTGGCCTCCCAAAGTGTTGGGCTTATAGGTGTGAGCCACCGCACCTGGCTCTAGTCTCTGTTTTTAATGTTAGGGGAATTGTGTTTGGTCATCTTTGGCTGTCCGTTTGTATTTAAGAGTGAAGTGCCAAGAAGCTGATGGATGCTCTGCTCTGTGCATGTGGGCAACACTGCACTGTAGCATGGCTGGGCAGAAAAGAAAAGTACATCTTTTCCCTTGGTGTAGTCAGCATTCTCGAAGAATCTACCAATCTTTGCTGGGAGGGGTGAGGAGCAGTGAAGAAGTAATGGTTATTGTCAGTGGTTATTCTCTGACTACCCATGTGTTGAGAGCTAGCCAGGGAAAGGCTGGGGAAACTCACCATCCATTAAGCAGAATGTTTTTTGGTCCCCCTGTTTTTAGCATGGTCCTTCATCTCCACCTCCAGCTGTGTCTGGTGTCCGTCTGCAAGTCCAAATCCTTGGTTCAACCATTCCAGGCAACCTGGCCAAAACTAACCAAACACCCATGATCTCCCGAGAGGAGAAAAGGCAGCTGCCTGGCCACAGGGCTGGGGAAGGGAATCAGGTCATCCTGCTCCTTTGCCAGACTTTTGATCGCTCCACCTGGATTTAGCCCTGTGGCACAGTTGTGCCTTCGAAGATGTGTAGTGCCTTCATGTGCTGAGCTTTTCTGGGGGGCCTGTAGCTTTATTCTGTTTTCTTCTTCTTAGCTTCTCATTCTGTACACATTTAGATCTCATTTTTCTCTTGTCTGCTTTATATCTTCTTTAATTTTGCTGATGTCTGTCAGCTGCATCATTTCTTCTCCCAATCTCTTTGTGTTTATAGGTTTACACCTTTCATTATTTCTTGCCTGTTATTTTAGTATTGTTTCAAGAGTGAACAGAGGGCTAGGCATGGTGGCTCACGCCTGTAATCCCAGCACTTTGGGAAGACGATGTGGATGGATCATTTGAGGTCAGGAGTTTGAGACCAGCCTGGCCAACATGGTGACACCCCACCTCTACTAAAAATGCAAAAATTAGCGAGGCATGGTGATGCGCACCTGTAGTCCCCAGCTACTCAGGAAGCTGAGGCAGGAGAATCGCTTGAACCCGAGAGGTGGAGGTTGCAGTGAGCCGAGATTGCGCCACTGCACTCTAGGCTGGGCGACACAACAAGACTCTGCCTCAAAAAAACAAAAAAAAAAAAAAAAAGAGGGAACAGAAATAAATGCATGTGTTCACCTGCTAAATAAAATGAGAAAGAGCACATGGTTATGTCAAGTGAAAAAGTTAGGATAAAAATAATACCCATAATATAACTTAGTTTTGTAAGAAAAAATTATAGTGTGTATTGACTGGAAGGAAATATAATAAAATTTCAATGATAGTTAACTCCAGATAGTGGGATTATGGGTGATTTTTATTTCTCTTCATACTTTCTTTGCATTTGATACTTTAAGTTCTAGGGCACGTGTGCAAAACGTGCAGGTTTGATACATAGGTATACATGTGCCATGGTGGTTTTCTGCACCCATCAGCCTGTCATCAACATTAGGTATTTCTCCTAATGCTCTCCCTCCCCCAGCCCCCCACCCCACAACAGGCCCCAGTGTGTGATGTTCCCCTCCCTGTGTCCATATGTTCTCATTGTTCAACTCCCACCTATGAATGAGAACATGCGGTGTTTGGTTTTCTGTCCTTGTGACAGTTTGCTGAGAATGATGGTTTCCAGCTTCATCCACGTCCCTGCAAAGGACATGAACTCATCCTTTTTTATGGCTGCATAGTATTCCATGGTGTATATGTGTAAAATGGGCACTTTTATAATCTCATGTAAATGATATTTGTTTGTTTCAATAAACCTTTCCTTGGGATATTGAATTAATAGTAGACGGAAAGTACTCATTCTGTAGCTTTCTTATCTATTTTTTGTGATCTATGAGTGGGAAGTACATAATCTATAGTTTGTTTTGGCAATGACAATCTCAAGATTCTAGTTAATTAACTATGTGCTTTCTAAAAATTCCTGGCTGGGTGCAGTGGCTCACACCTGTAATCCCAGCACTTTGGGAGGCCAAGGCGGGTGGATCACCTGACGTCAGGAATTCGAGACCAGCCTGGCCAACATGGTAAAAACCCATCTCTACTAAAAATACAAAAATTAGCCAGTGTGGTGGCACATGCCTGTAATCCCAGCTACTCAGGAGGCCGAGGCAGAAGAATTGCTTGAACCCGGGAGGCGGAGGTTGCAATGAGTCGAGATCGTGCCACTGCACTCCAGCCTGGAGAACAGAGTGAGACTCTGTCTCAAAAAAAGAAAAATAAATACATAAAAATAGAAATTCTTGAGTAAAAATCTTTACCTAGCTGCAGTTTAGTGAGAAGTCTTCTTTTGTTTTGTTTTGTTTATTCTGGTATTGTTTTGCTATTTTTTGTTTGTTTTAAACCTAAATAATGGGATTGCTGGAGAGAAGCAGAAGGCTGTTTCTCAGAGTAGATTGAGAAACAGTCATACAAAGTAGTTAAGTTCACAGGCTCCGGTGTCCGACAGTCCTGAGTTTGAACCCCTTTCTGCCATTTACTGTTTGTGTGACCATGGCAAGTGTGTTAGTCCAGGTCTTCTGAAAAATGGATGCTGAGATGGAATTATTCATGCAAAGATTTTATCAGGGGAAAGATCTGCGTGAGAGAAAATGGGGAGGGAACCTTCAGAACCAGTGCAAGGCTGACCCCCAGTGAAGGAGAGGCTGGAAGACACGGCTGTGTTTGGCAAGGTCATCAAGAGTCCTTGAGCCAAAGTCAACCATCAGAGACGCCCTGACTCCCCAGGAAAGGCCCATCCCATGTGATTCCTGCCACACTTAATAATGGGATGGGAGCAGTCTGTGGGCAGTGTGGCCTCAGAACACACAGAGAAGGATTGCAGAGCCTAGAAGCCGGGACCCTTGCTGACTTACGCCCCCTGTAGTTGGAGATCGGTGAGGCACATTCTCACATCCAGCACATCAACTCACCTTAGCTGTCTACACCGCATTTTCTCATCGGTAAAATAGAAATCAGGCTATTGTGAGGGTTAGAATATGTAATTGAAGTGCCCAAAGTAGAAAGGATTCTTCTTTCTCCTCTTGCTGTCCTTCTCTTCTTCACTTTTTCTCAGCAGCAGCTATTTTTAGATTCGACACTGACAAGCCAGAGAATCTTCCTCCAATCTATTAAAACAAATCTGTCTTTTAAAACGTGTTATTGAAAATGTGACGTGGACCAGCCCTGTTAGCATTGCTTGGGAACTCGATAGAGATGCACACTTCAGGCCCCTCCCAGACCTGCTGAGTCAGATTCTCTGGGGGAAGAGGCCAGGAATCTGGTTTTCTTATGTGCGGGGTGGTCCTTGTGCACGTAAGTTTTGAGAAGCACTGCTCTAAACACAAATCATTCTTATATCTTCTAGGGAGGAAAAAGGAAGAAAACAGATAATATCACTTCAAAAACAGCTAATTAATGTCAAAAAGGAATGGCAATTTGAAGTCCAGGTAAGAATTACCTGCTTAACACCAAAAGTGACCGAGCTAACACAGCTATTAAATATATGGAAGCCATCTTTCTCAAGCAGAGAAGAGTTACATGTAAAAGATTGTTGTTTCCTCCGGCATTCCTTTACTATTGAAAACATAGCCGGGCACGGTGGCTCACGCCTGTAGTCCCAGCACTTTGGGAGGCTGAGGCGGGCGGATCTCCTGAAGTCAGGAATTTGAGACCAGCCTGGCCAACATGGTGAAACCCCATCTCTACTAAAAATACAAAAATTAGCCGGGTATGGTGGCAGGTGCCCGTAATCCCAGCTACTTGGGAGGCTGAGGCAGGAGACTCACTTGAACCCTGGGAGGTTACAGTGAGTCAAGATTGCACCATTGAACTCCAGCCTGGGTGACAGAGCGAGATTCCGTCTCAGAAAAAAAAAAAAAAAAACAGAAGATATAAAGATAGCAAGTAGAGAGCTGGCCTGGGTCGTACAGGTGTGTCTGGAATATAGAGCCCTGCGAGACCCCAACCCCCTGGAGCCCTTAGTTCCCATCTTCGTATCCCACCACATACACCCCCACCCTCCCCCACAGATGACCTCATCCCATCCTCATATCCCACCCCACAAACACCCCCACCCTCCCCCACAGATGACCTCGTCCCATCCTCATATCCCACCTCACAAACACCCCCACCCTCCCCCACAGATGACCTCGTCCCATCCTCATATCCCACCCCACATACACCCCCACCCTCCCCCACAGATGACCTCATCCCATCCTCATATCCCACCCCACATACACCACCACCCTCCCCCACAGATGACCTCATCCCATCGTCATATCCCACCCCACATACACCCCCACCCTCCCCCACAGGGGGCCTTGTCTCAGGCAGTCTCTTGTACTCTCACATCCCAGATGGAAAAGTATATTCCTAAAGAAGACATTCAGCACATTATGAACCTTCTCATACATAGTGGTTGGGCTTCATTATGTTATTTGTATTGTATTTTGAGGACAAAGTGGATTTGCGAGCTTTTGTGGTCATTAGGACCTAACCTCGTATCTAGTTTACTTTTATAAGAAAATGCATCCCAAGTTTTAAGGAATTGACTTGCAAAACAAAGTTGGGGCTACAACCTAAGCAGTTAGAAACCAGCTGTATTAGGATGACTGACAACTTTTCTAGGAGCAGTTTAGAAAGTTACAGAGGATGGCCGGGCGCGGTGGCTCACGCCTATAATCCCAGCACTTTGGGAAGCCAAGACGGGCGGATCACGAGGTTAAGAGATCGAGACCATCCTGGCCAACATGCTGAAACCCCGTTTCTACTCAAAATACAAAAATTAGCCGGGTGTGGTGGTGCGCACCTGTAGTCCCAGCTATTCAGGAGGCTGAGGCAGGAGAATCGCTTGAACCTGGGAGGCGGAGGTTGCAGTGAGCCAAGACAGTGCCACTGCACTCCAGCCTGGTGACAGAGCGAGACTCCGTCTCAAAAAAAGAAAAGAGAAAGTTACAGAGGATGGCCCGTTATCAGCTTTTCACTGACCAGCTGTTTGGACAAGTTTATGCTTCACAGAAGGGAATTTTCGTTATTCCCTACATAGACGTTGGAAAACTATTTTATTTATATATTTCATTTTTATTTTTATTTTTTGGTGGAGTGAGATGGAGTCTCACCCTGTCCACTCCATCACCCAGGCTGGAGTGCAATGGCACAATTTCGGCTCACTGAAACCTCTGCCTCCTGGGTTTAAGCGATTCTCCTGCCTCAGCCTCCCGAGTAGCTGGGACTACAGGCATGCACCACCATGCCCAGCTAATTTTTAAAATATTTTTAGTACAGACGGGGTTTCACCATGTTGACCAGGCTGGTCTCAAACTCCTGACCTCAGGTGATCTGCCCATCTCGTCCTCCCAAAATGTTGAGATTACAGGTGTGAGCCACCGTGCCCAGCCTATTTATTTGTTGTAGACACAGGATCTTCACTCTGTCACTCAGGCTGGAGTGCAATGGCACAATTATAGTTCATTGCAATCCTGCGCTCAAGCAATTCTCCCACCTCAGCCTCCTGAGTAGCTGGGACTACAGGCACGTGCCACCACGCCAGGCTGCGGTTTAATTGTTCGTAGAGGTGGGGTCTTGCTTTGTTGTCCAGGCTGGTCTCAGCCTCCTGGCCTCGAGTGTTTCTCCCTCCTTGGCCTCTCAAAGCATTGGGATTACAGGCATGAGCTGCCATGCCCAGCTGAGAGAATATTTTTATTTATTTATTTTTTACTGTTTTTTGTTTTGTTTTGTTTTTGAGACACGGTCTCACTTTGTCACCTAGGCTGGAGTGCAGTGGAGTGATCTCAGCTCACTGCAACCTCTGCCTCCCAGGCTCAAATGATTCTCCTGCCTCAGCCCCCAGATAGCTGGGACTACAGGCACCTGCCACCACACCCAGATAATTTCTTAAATTTTTGATACAGACAGGGTTTCACTATGTTGTCCAGGCTGATCTCGAACTCCTGAGCTCAAGTGATCTGTCTGCCTTGGCCCCCCCATAACGCTAGGATGATAGGTGTGAACCACTGCACTGGGCCTGAGAATATTGTAAGTTTATATGGAAGAATTGTTTTTAAAAGGTCACTAGGAGGTGGAAGGATCATTTGAGGCCTGGGGTTTAAGACCAGCTTGGGCAACATAGCAAGACTCTGTCTCTATAAATAAATAACTTATAAAAATAACTGGAAAAGTAAAAAAATTATCTGGATGTGGTAGTACACATCTGTAGTCCTAACTGCGTGGGAGGCTAAGGTAGGAGGACTGCGTGAGCCTAGGAGGTTGAGGCTGCAGTGAGCTGTGGTCTCCCCACTGCACTGCAGCCTGGGCAACAGAGTGAGACCGTCTCAAAAACAAAGTCACTAGACTTTTTTTTAAGATATTATCTGTAAGTCTTCCAAGCAAATTGCCTAACACCTTCTCTTATTTTGTATTTGCCAATTACAAAGCACCTTAGGTAGCTCTAGGTCTTGATGTCATTATCCCTCTTAACCCTCTGCATGTAGCTTATATTTTTTAAAAACTACTTTTCTTCTCTGGGAAACTTCATGAAAACTAGTTTGTGTTTAAGTTTTCTCTGTAATGAATAGACTTTTTCAGAGGTTTCCTAACTCTTTTCCCTGAAAAACTCTCATAATTTAAAAAGACTAATATAAATATCTTCTATTTTAAAAGTCATGAATCTTTTGACATTATCTTATAGAAGATAAGTATCTTTTAAGTATGTTTTAAAATAGAAGATATTTATTTATTTATTTATTTATTTATTTATTTTTATTTTTGAGATGGAGTCTAGCTCTGTCGCCCAGGCTGGAGTGCAGCAGCTCGATCTTGGCTCACTGCGACCTCCGTCTCTCGAGTTCAAGCGATTCTCCTGCTTCAGCCTCCCAAGTAGCTGGGATTACAGGTGTAGGCCACCACACCTGGCTAATTTATGTGTTTTTAGTAGAGATGGGGTTTCACCATATTGGCCAGGCTGGTCTTGAACTTCTGACCTCAGGTGATCCACCCGCCTCGGCCTCCCAAAGTGCTGAGATTACAGATGTGAGCCACTGTGCCTGGCCAGAAGATATTTATATTAGTCTCCTTTTAAGCCCTCCAAAGCAATGTCAAAAGAAACCTCAGATTTAGCACTTTGCCAGTTAACTCCCATTCTACCATAAGGACCACACCTGTTGATGGTAGAATTTTCCTAACAGCAACAACACTTGCTCCTGAGATGTATCCTCTTAATTATATTCTCAGCCATTACATTCAGCCAAAGTAAAATTAAAGTAGAATATCATTCAGATATTGTGATCATCAGCAAAAAAAATAGGTTAAGAAACCAAGATTCTGCTTCGTAGTGGGTCTTAAAAAAAGAAAGAAAGAAACCAAGACTAGAAGATCCAAGGCAAGCCTTGGAACAAAAAAGAACTACCAAGATGAAACCAGGTGAAATCCCCAGAGTTACTGAAAACCAGTAGTCGGGTCGACCAAGATGAAACCAAGTTAAATCGCCAGAGTTACTGAAAACCAGTAGTCAGGTCAACCAAGATGAAACCAGGTGAAATCCCCAGAGTTACTGAAAACCAGTAGTCGGGTCAACCAAGATGAAATCAGGTGAAATCCCCAGAGTTACTGAAAACCAGTAGTCGGGTCAATCAAGATGAAATCAGGTGAAATCCCCAGAGTTACTGAAAACCAGTAGTCGGGTCGACCAAGATGAAACCAGGTTAAATCCCCAGAGTTACTGAAAACCAGTAGTCGGGTCGACCAAGATGAAACCAGGTGAAATCCCCAGAGTTACTGAAAACCAGTAGTCGGGTCGACCAAGATGAAACCAGGTGAAATCCCCAGAGTTACTGAAAACCAGTAGTCGGGTCGACCAAGATGAAACCAGGTTAAATCCGCAGAGTTACTGAAAACTAGTAGTCGGGTCGACCAAGACGAAACCAAGTTAAATCCCCGGAGTTACTGAAAACCAGTAGTCGGGTCGACCAAGAAGAAACCAAGTTAAATCCCCGGAGTTACTGAAAACCAGTAGTCGGGTCGACCAAGAAGAAACCAAGTTAAATCCCCGGAGTTACTGAAAACCAGTAGTCGGGTCGACCAAGAAGAAACCAAGTTAAATCCCCGGAGTTACTGAAAACCAGTAGTCGGGTCGACCAAGAAGAAACCAAGTTAAATCCCCGGAGTTACTGAAAACCAGTAGTCGGGTCGACCAAGACGAAATCAGGTTAAATCCCCGGAGTTACTGAAAACCAGTAGTCGGGTCGACCAAGACGAAATCAGGTTACATCCCCGGAGTTACTGAAAACCAGTAGTCGGGTCGACCAAGATGAAATCAGGTTACATCCCCGGAGTTACTGAAAACCAGTAGTCGGGTCGACCAAGATGAAATCAGGTGAAATCCCCGGAGTTACTGAAAACCAGTAGTCGGGTCGACCAAGATGAAATCAGGTTAAATCCCCGGAGTTACTGAAAACCAGTAGTCAGGTCAAGGTTGGAAAACAAGAAGATAGGAAGTATATGCACATTAGGGAACTGTGGGTCAGAAAATGATGCCAACAAGAATGGCAGGTTTTTGTATATGAAAGTGTTGGTGGTAGCTTAGATGTGTAGGATTAATTGCCTTAGATACTCAGCAAAAAGAAAGAGTCACAAAGCAAAAAAAGTTTCAGACTTCTGAACATCAACATCCAAAGCAAGATAACAATGGATCAGCACTTCCATGAAACTCCTGGGAAAAAAAGAACCAAGATTCATATATAAAAATCTATCTTTTATACATCAGCAACAGATTTAGAATAGAAAATTGAAAATTTATATATATTATTTACAATAGCATCAAAACTATCAATGCCTAGCATTGACTCTAACAGCAGCAACAAAAACAATAGTAAAACACATGCCACCAGGCCCAGCTTATGTTTGTGTTTTTAGTAGAGACGGAGTTTTGCCATGTTGTCCAGGCTGGCCGCAAACTCCTGGCCTCAGGTGATCCACCTGCCTCAGTCTCCCAAACTGCTGGGATTACAGGCATGAGCCATCACGACTGGCCTTTTTTTTTTTTTTTTTAATTGAGATGGGGGGGTTCTCTCTTTGTTGCCCAGGCTTGTTTTGAACTCCTGGCCTCAAGCTTCCCAAGTAACTAGTCCTACCTCAGCTTCCCAAGTAACTAGGATTACTGGAGCTCAGAGTTTATTCTGAGTCTATGGACTCGTATAGTATCAGCCGGTATTCTAAGTCATAGACAGCAAATAGAAATGTTAATTTATTTTATTTTATTTTATTTTTGAGATGTGATCTCACTCTGTCTCCTAGGCTGGAGTGCAGTGCCGCGATCTCAGCTCACTACAACCTCTGCCTCCCAGGTTCAAGTGATTCTCCTGCCTCACCCTCCCAAGTAGCTGAGATTACAGGTGCACGCCACCACACTTGGCTAATTTTTGTATTTTTTTTTTTTTTAGTAGAGATGGGGTTTCACCATGTTAGCCAGGCTGGTCTCGAACTCTTGACCTCAAGTGATCCACCCGCCTCAGCCTCCCAAAGTGCTGGGTTTACAGGCGTGAGCCACCGAGCCTGGCTGTAAATGTTAATTTAATAGAGAACTATTTTTTTCCTGTGGCTTTTGTCTCTTTAATAGACAACATTACCATTTTCCTTTTGCTACCCAACCAGAGGGGAAGCCTGAGGTCTAAGACAAGTGCCAACTTCCCAGATAGTAGCTTCCAAACTTCCAGGAACCAGTACTCCGTTCTGTACTTTATGTACAGTTATGAAAGCAGACACTACCATTAAAGCCCTTGGCTCACGTTATTATGGCAGCCATCACAGCCTTATTAACTCGAGTTGGTAGACTGCCTCTTTTTATTAGTAAATCATGCTTCTCTGAATTCGAATAACAAGTCCAGAGGTCCCGATCTGAAGGCAATTTTGGGATTTGGAAGTAATGTTTGGTCTGCCATGAAAACCCAAAACTGTGATGCATCAGTCCATGGACCTGACCACGAGGAAGGTTCCCGACACCATGGACAACTCGGATTCGAGGTTGTAGTGAAGGCAAATCTTTTCTTAGTGAAACTCTGAAAAGGAGCCTGTACCCCACTGCTTCTAGGCTGGCTGTTCTCACACACTGGGAAGAAGAGGACACGGAATAGCACTTCCGCTCGCTTGTTAGTATGCCTCGATCTTGGTTTTACCATCATAGCCTGTCAGGATTTTATATCTTTCTCTGTGTTTCCACACGGTCACCGTGGAGGGCCATTAAAATGTTTGTGCAAAATACCAATCCAGGAAGGAACTCAGGGTACTCAGAGGCCCATGGCAACGGCATTAAAACCAGATGCCTTTGGCTTGGCACAGCCAATGTTGTACGTCCTTATAAACACTTACATTGGCCGGGCATGGTGGCTCATGTCTATAATCCCAGCACTTTGGGAGGCCGAGGCAGGTGGATCACCTGAGGTCAGGAGTTTGAGACCAGCCTGACTAACATGGAGAAACCCTGTCTCTACTAAAAATACAAAATTAGCCCAGCGTAGTGGCAGGTGCCTGTAATCCCAGCTACTTGGGAGGCCGAGGCAGGAGAATCGCTTGAACCTGGGAGACCGAAGTTGCAATGAGCCAAGATTGCATCACTGCACTCCAGCCTGGACGACAAGAGCAAAACTCGGTCTAAAACAACAACAATAAAAAACACTTCCATGATGCAGTACCTTCTGTTTACCATGGGCAGAAGCTAAAGACTTTTAACTCTGCATTTCTGATCTTCAGACTGTTACTCTGAAGTCTTAATATTCCATTTGAGAAAGAAAAATTACCAGAACATGCTCTTGAGTTTTCAAAAGTATATTTTTGTATGTACGGACACTATTCAATAAATCCCTGTCTAACACTATTTAGATTCTGTGAGAAACAAAACTACAGTTATCAATGTGGGCTGAGGTTTTCTGCAAAAGGCTTTATTTACTTGAGTGATATATAAGGTGGACCTTGAAGGAAATCTAAGGGATTATATAGGTAAAAGGATTCCAGTTGATGAAGAAGTAAAACCATCACATTTTTGCTTTAACTCTAGTCTTCCTAAAGATTCAAACCTATACCAGGCACAGTGGCTCATGCCTGTAATCCCAGCACATTGGGAGGCCGAGGCAGGTAGATTGTTTGAGACCAGGAGTTTGAGACCAGCCTGGGCAACATGGCAAAACCCCATCTCTACCAAAAAAAAAAAAAAAAAAAAAAAAAGCAAAAAATTAGCTGGGTGTGGTGGCGTGGTAGCACGTACATGTAGGCCCAGCTACTCGGGAGGTTGAGGTGGGAGGCGGAGATTGCAGTGAGCCAAGATCGCACCATTGCACTCCAGCCTGGGCAACAGAGAGATCTTGTCTCAAAAAAAAAAAAAAAAGATTCACTGACTGCCATACAATTTGGAAATAGAAGGGAGGGAAGAGGAAGAAGGAGGAGAAATGGGCTGGGCATGGTGGCTCATGCCTGTAATCCCAGCACTTTGGGAGGCTGAGGCGGGCAGATCCCCTGAGGTCAGGAGCTGGAGACCAGCCTGGCCAACATGGTGAAACCCCATCTCTACTAAAAAGAAATTAAAAAATTAGCCAGGCATGGTGGCACATGCCTGTAATCCCAGCTACTTGGGAGGCTGAGGCAGGAGAATCGCTTGAACCCGGGAGGCAGAGGTTGCAGTGAGCCAAGATCGCACCACTGCACTCCAGCCTGGGCAACACAGCGAGACTCTGTCTCAAAAAAAAAAAAGAGAAAAGAGAAATGGGGAAGACAGGGGAGAAGGGAAGTGCGTATAGAAAGAATGGAAGAAAAACAGTGAGCCAAAAGCAGACATCTCTTAAAATTCATTTCATCAACATTTATTGAGCATATAAGTTGTGCCAGGCACTCCAGCCTGGGCAGGATTTTACAGATGAGAAAATAGGCTTAGTGAGGTCCAGTAATTTGCCTGCAATCCTACAACTTGTAAGAGAATATGAAATATTAAGACATATTTTCAAAGGGCCTATAGCATATTCTGTGCCAGAGATGCTCCGTCTCTTAGGAATGATTCCGATCTAGTTGGAATAACTGTCATACAATTAGAATGATTCTGCAGAGTTATATCAAGAAGCTAGTAGACAAAATAACTTGAAGAATTCCGTTCTGATTCATCTTAGGGACCTTTTTGAGACAGGGTCTTGCTCTGTTGCCCAGGCTAAAGTGCAATGGCATGAGCATAGCTCACTGCAGCCTCGGCCTCCGGGGCTCAAGGGAGTCTACCACTTCAGCCTCCCTAGTAGCTGGGACTACAGGCGCATGCCACCAGGCCCAGCTAATTTTTAAATTTTTTTGTAGAGACAGGTTTTCACTGTGTTGCCCAGGCTGCTCTTGAACTCCTGGGTTCAAGCGAGCCTCCTGCCTTGGTTTCCCAAAGCATTGGAATTACAGGCGTGAGCCACCCCACCAGGTTGGGGCCTAATGATACTTTAAGTCAAGCTTGTCCAACCTGTAGCCCGCAGGCCACATGCGGCCCAGGATGGCTTTGACTGGGGCCCAACACAAATTCGTAAACTTTCTTAAAACATTATGAGAGATTTTTTTGTGTGATTTTTTTTTTTTTTTAGTTCATCATTGGTGTATTTTGTGTGTGGCCCAACACAATTCTTCTTCCAGTGCGGCCCAGGGAAGCCAAAAGATTGGACACCGCTGCCTATGCTTGCTTTCCTTAACGGAGGATTTGTCCAATTACCACTTTGTTTTTTCTTCCAATGGTTACTTAGAATTAATTCCCTAGGTACTTGGGAGGCTGGAGAGAGGGGATTCCTTGAGTCTAGGAGTTCAAGACTACAGTGAGCTATGCTGGTGACACTGCACTACAGCCTGGGGGACACGGTGGACCCTATCTCAAGAAAGAAAAGAGGCTGGCTGCAGCAGTGGCTCCTGCCTGTAATCCTAGCATGTTGGGAGGCTGAGGTGGGAGGATCATTTGAGCCCAGGGTTTCGAGGCCAGCCTGGGCAACACAGTGAGACTCTGTTTCTACAATAATAATAATAATTAGCTGAGTGTGATGTCATGCACCTGTAGTCCCAACTACTCTGTAGGCTGAGGCAGGAGGATTTCTTGAGCCTGGGAGGTCAAAGTTACAGTGAGCCGTGATCATGCCACTGCACTTCAGCCTGAGTGACAGAACAAGACCGTCTCAAAAACAACAACAACAACAACAACAACAAAGCCGGGCGCAGTGGCTCATGTCTGTGATCCCAGCACTTTGAGAGACCAAGGCAGGAGGATCCCTTGAAGCCAAGAGTTTGAGACCAGCCTGGGCAACAGAGTGAGACCCCCATCTCTAAAAATATTAAAAAGTTAGCCAGGCATGGTGACATGCACCTGTAGTACTAGCTACTTGGGAAGATGGCTTGAGCCCAGGAATTGGAGGTTATAGTGAGCTGTGATCGAGCCACTACACTCCAGCCTGAGTGACAGAGGGAGATCCTGTCTCTAAACAAAAAAATTTTTTTAATACAAAAGAACTAATTCTACCCTACTTACATGGTTAAGACGAAAGGCAATTGGAGGCCAGGCGTGGTGGCTCACGCCTGTAATCCCAGCACTTTGGGAGACCGAGGCAGGTGGATCACCTGAGGTCGGGAGATCAAGACCATCCTGACCAATGTAGAGAAACCCCATCTCTACTAAAAATACAAAATTAGCTGGGTGTGGTGGTGAGCACCTGTAATCCCAGCTACTCAGAAGGCTGAGGCAGGAGGATCACTTGAACCTGGGAGGTGGAGCTTGCAGTAAGCCAAGATCATGCCACTACACTCCAGCCTGGGCAACAAGAGCGAGCCTCCATCTCAAAAAAAATGTAAAAAGAGAAGAAAGGCGGTTGGTATCTAGAGGAGCAGGTCTCGGGTTGAAGCACTTTTGTTGCTAGTCGTGTGCTTGTTTGCTGTGCCGTCAGGTCCCCTCCCTGTGGACTTACTCACACACTGATTCCGCCCAAACAGTTCTTTTCAAACAAATGTTACCTCCCTGACTAAAAGCTTTCCAAGGATTCCCATGACAGTTGGAATAAAATCTGAATTTCTCAGTTGGGTCTCCGGGGTCCTGTGTGGTGCCCTTACCGACCTCCAACCTCATCCTGTCCTCCCCTCAACCCTCACTAGGCTAGAGCCTCCGGAGCTTTCTTTCAGTTCCTGGAATGTATCCAGGTCTTGATTGCTTCAGGATTTGGGCATATACTTATTCTTTTTTTTTTTTTTAGAGTTCCCTTAACCCTATTTTTCTTTTCTTTTTCTTTCCTTTTTTTCTTTTTCTTTTCTTTTTTTTTTTTTTTTTTGAGACAGAATCTCGCTCTATCACCCAGGCTGGACTGCAGTGGCATGATCTCAGCTCACTTCAACCTCCACCTCCCGGGTTCAAGTGATTCTTCTGCCTCAGCCTCCCGAGTAGCTGGGATTACAGGCGCCCGCCACCACTCCCAGCTATTTTTCGTATTTTTAGTAGAGACGGGGTTTCACCATGTTGGCCAGGCTGGTCTCAAACTGCTGACCTCAGCTGGTCGCCATGCCTCAGCCTCCCAAAGTGCTGGGATTACAGGCGTGAGCCCCCGTGCCTGGCCAAGCCTATTTTTCATGTGGTGGGCTTACCTGTCCTTCAGGTATCGAATGAGCCATCGCTTTCCCGAGAGAGTCCTTCTCAGACCTTCCAGAGTCTAATGTACTCCTCCCTTGTTATTTCCTCCCACAGCCTCTCGAGCCTTCCTTTTCTATCATTTTGCACAATTTTTGGAAGTTTACACATGTGTTTGTCTCTTTTTAACCACCTCTCTTCTATTAGACTGTAAGCTCTATGAGGGAAGGGAATATGTCTGTTTAGATCTCCACAATTTTCCTAGCTCAGTGCCTGGTGCTGAATAAATATTTTTCTTAATGACTATTGAGTCCTCACAATTGCCAAGCACTTGGTGACCTGCAAAAAGAAAGCGTTTTCACACGTGTTCTCAAGGAAACCTAATAATCACTCTCTGAGATACTTCAGGCAGGTTGGGTGTTTGTATGTTTGTGTGTTTGTTTTATAGAAAGTAAAAAGTTGGAGATTTGACTTGGCCAAGTTCACACAGCTGGAGGCCTGGGTGGGAAGTCAGTTCTTTTGATCATTTTGACCAGTGTTCTTCCTACCAAAATGAGAAAGCTGTGTGGGACATACGGAGTACAGCAATAATGTGCCTGGGAACTAATCTCACAGCCCTGATGCGCCCTGATTCTTAGAAATGCTGTGTTACTCACTTTCATCTATACACTTCATGATTGTTGGCTAAATTTCCCATTGTGTGACAGCGGAAAAATAGTTCCAGTTCCTTATTGATTTATACGCATAAAAGGGAACCGTAAGCCGCTGACTGAACTGAATGGAGGTAGAATGTATTTTCAATTTAGAAACCTGGTCTTTCCACTACAGAGTCAGAATGAGTATATTGCTAACCTCAAGGACCAACTGCAAGAGATGAAGGCAAAATCCAACTTGGAGAATCGCTACATGAAAACCAATACCGAGCTGCAGATTGCCCAGACCCAGAAAAAGTGTAACAGAACAGAGGAACTCTTGGTGGAAGAGATTGAGGTAATCCCTGGGACATTAGCCAAGAACCCAGGAGATGGCAATTGAGCTGTCACTCCTGATCCCCTCTCAGCTAACAAAGGAGGGAGACAAAGATTTCCCTCCATCTCTATCGGCAACAGCCCCTCCACTTGAGGTTGAAAATAAAAGCCTAAATGAGGATATGCGTGTTCGCAAGCAGAGATTCCAGTGGGCTGTAGCCTCCATCTCCCGCCTCATAATGACTTTGAAAATTGGCTGCACTTTCTCTCCTTGGTCACTTCTTATTTTGGCAAACCAATCACCATTTTTCTGACTAATTATAGGGAGAGGGCAAAACGAGGTGCTTAGTTATGGCAGGATTTTGCTGCTGTTTCTTTCATCTAACCAGTACCTTTCACTCCTCCAGTAAGAAATACAGCATCGAGAGCGCTGAACTTCGTTCAAACCTGAGTTTATAGGATGAGAAGTCACGGTGAAAAATGCCAGGAGGAAGAAAGAAGTGGTAGATCTTCTTTGAGGGGAATGCTAAATGGCACACACGCACGCACGCACACACGCACGCACGCACGCACGCACACACGCAAAGCCAGGCACTAGTCCCAGCTAATCGGAGGTGAGGCAGTGAGGCAGGAGGATCCTTGAGTTTGAAGCCAGCCTGGGCAACTTCAGACTTCAACTAGGGAGACTCCCTTCTCACAAAAAAGAAAAGAAAACAAGAAAGAGCAGCAGGCAGATGGGAAGAGGGAAGCAGGAACAAACGTCCTTGGGCCGTGGAATCTGTGTGTGGGAGGACTCCTCGCTCTGAGACTGACGTGGCTCAAGGCCACGTCAACACTCTTCCTGGCACTCCGGAATCCCCCTTTTTAAGCCCCACAGCCTTGTGCCCTTGGAGCGCCGTTTCTGTCCTTCAGTGGGCACCTCTGTTCAGCTCACGGGATTGTGCTCGTCTCGTTAGGGACACACGCAGTCCACACAGTGCCGCGCCACGTGGCTCTGCAGTGTTGGTGAACAGGAGTTGCAGGGAACTGAAAGCCCGGGATCCCAGCTGGTAAAGGGAGCCTCAGCTACCGACCGAGCTGCTGCTCTCATCTTGAGAACTTCTGATTCCCAGCCCTGCGGGGAAGACGTACTGGTATCTGATTGTTCTTACAGAAACTCAGGATGAAAACCGAAGAAGAGGCCCGGACTCATACAGAGATTGAAATGTTCCTTAGAAAGGAGCAGCAGGTGGGTCCCCACAGCTTTTCTATGCTTTGACTTTTTTTTTGTACTCTGCTTATACTGAGGAAACAAAAAGAATATTTTGAAGGAAAACCAACCATCATTCTTTCAGCCTAATGAACTTTAGCTCATGTTTTCTTTCAGGGTTATGCATCTGAATAGATATCTTATATAGCTGTAATTTGAGAGAGTGCAGGTAAAATTTTGTTTTCTGCTTTTATCATTGAGCTTACATAAGAAATTTTTCGATTTCTATATTGCTGTATACTCATAATTTTCAAATTATGACTTAATTTATGACTTAAAATTTATTAAGTCAAATTATGACCTACAAATTTATGGGCTGGGCACAGTGGCTCACGCCTGTCATCCCAGCACTTTGGGAGGCCGGGGAGGGTGGATCACCTGAGTTCAGGAGTTTGGGACCAGCCTGACCAATATGGTGAAACCCTGTTTCTATTAAAAAATACAAAAATTAGCCGGGCATGGTGGTGCGCCTGTAATCCCAGCTATTCAGGAGGCTGAGGTGGGAGAATTGCTTGAACCTGGGAGGCAGAGGATGCAGTGAGCTGAGATCACGCCACCGTACTCCAGCCTAGGCAACAGAGCGAGACCCCGTCTCAAAAACAAAAACCAAAAAAAGACATAATTTTTAAATTAATTATTTTTAAATTATGACTATATTTAAAAATTTTTCCCAATAGTATAGTGGCCAATAAATAAAAAAGAAAAATAAATAAAGGCCGGACATGGTGGCTCACGCCTGTAATCCCAGCACTTTGGGAGGCAGAGGCCAGCGGATCACCTGAGGTCAGGAGTTCGAGACCAGCCTGGCCAACATGGAGAAACCCCGTCTCTACTAAAAATACAAAAATTAGCCAGGCATGGTGGCGGGCGCCTGTAATCCCAGCTACTCAGAAGGCTGAGGCAATAGAATCGCTTGAACCCAGGAGGCAGAGGTTACAGTGAGCCGAGATCATGCCACTCACTCCAGCCTGGGCAACAGAGCAAGAATCTGTCTCAAAAAAAAAAAAATTTACTAATCTTTTACACTATAAAAATAACATTCCCAGTTGAGTGAAGATTTTTAAAATTACTCATTGCTTTTCATTTTTTATGTTATTACAGTTTCTTTATAAAATAATTGAAAATTGTGTTTAACGTTCCATTGAATGGTTGTGCCACAGTTTATTTGTTACACTTTTTTTTTATATTTAGGTTGTTTCTAAAGTTTGTTATTATAAATAATGCACTCATTAAAGCTTTGCCCAAAGAACTGTTTTTCTTCATGGCAACTATTTACTAAAAGCCAATCTCAGTCATGAGATTTTTGTTTCAGAGACTAGTATTTTGTGACTTTTAATAAACATTGCTAATACTCTCGAATCTGTGCTGCCGTTAGCAGTGTTGCAGGCAGTAATTTCAAGGTCTCTTCAATATTAGTAGCCATTTTCAATATTTTTCAAAGTCTGCTAATTTAATGAGTTGTTTTATTTTTTATTTTTGCTTATTAACAGGTGAACATAACATTTTTCCACATGTTTACTCAATTTATTTCTTCTTGTGTGAAATATATATGACACGGTGGTTTTAAGAGCATTTTCAATACTAATAACCAAGCTGGGTCTATAATATATCTAAGGTTAGAATTATGTCTAAGTCTACCTGGAGTCTTTCTTTCTTTTTTTTTTTTTTTTTGTTTTGTTTTTGAGATGCAGTCTTGCTTTACTGCCCAGGCTGGAGTGCAGTGGCGTGATCTTGGCTCACTGCAACCTCGGCCTCCTGGGCTCAAGCGATTCGCCTGCCTCAGCCTCCTGAGTAGCTGGGATTACAGGCGCACGTCCAGCTAATTTTTGTATTTTTAGTAGAGATGGGGTTTCACTGTGTTGACCAGGCTGGTCTAGAACTCCTGACCTCAGGTAATCCACCTGCCTCGGCCTCCCAAAGTGCTGGGATTACAGGCGTGAGCCACCGTGCCCAGCCCCAGCTGGAGTCTTTCAAAATAACCCTATTGGATGAATAAAGAGAAAATTTTCCAGCTTAGTTATAATACAGCTTGCCTTTGGAAAAAGCTAATGAGTTTTCAGTCAAGGATTCCAAATGTGTGGTTAAAGAGGAGAATTTGTAGATGCTCTCTTGCAGGTCTTTACTGAAAAAAATACCTGGTAGGCTATTAGAATTAGGGTTCTGTAGCCCTGCACTTTAAGAATTATGTATCATGTTACCTGTTTCAAGTGTGAGATACCTGGCAGGTGTTGGATATTTATCAGTGAGTTGGTAGATAAATGGATCACGAAGGGATGACGCCAGAGTTTCCCAGATCTTCAGCCCAATAACACAAGCAATACATAAGTATATATTTTTTTATTTTTTATTTTTTAGGGACAGGGTCTCTCTCTGTTTCCCAGGCTTCAGTGCAGTGGTGCCACCATAGCTCACTGCAGCCTCAAACTCCTGGGCCCAAGTGATCCTCCCACCTCAGCCTCCTGAGTAGCTGGGACTACAGGTGTGCACCACCACGTCCAGCTACAATTTCAGACAGAAATACATAGGTTAAAGAAAGTGAAAGCCCTCTTAAATTACTCCCCTTTCTGAAGGGAAGTTTCTTCCACATGTATTTCTTTTCATATACATACTTATACCTAAAAACATACCTATTCTCAGTGGTGGTTTTTTGTTTTGTTTTGTTTTTGAGAGGAGTCTTGCTCTGTTGCCCAGGCTGGAGTGCAATGGCGCGATCTCGGCTCACTGCAACCTCTGCCTCCAGGTTCAAGTGATTCTCCTGCCAGCCTCCCGAGTAGCTGGGATTACATGCACCTGCCACCACACCTGGCTAATTTTTGTATTTTTGGTAGAGATGGGGTTTCACCATGTTGGTCAGGCTGGTCTTGAACTCCTGCCCTCAAGTGATCTGCTGGCCTCAGCCTCCCAAAGTGCTGGGATTACAGGCATGAGCCACTGCACCCGGCCTAGTATTTGTTTCTTAAGTAAATTGGATCATGCTATATATAGTGTTCCAGAGCCTGTTGTTTTCTTCTTACATTTACTTTGTTTTTAATGTTTTCTGTAGCAGTACAGCTGATTGATAGAATATATCTCACACTCAGAATATACTGAAATTTAGTGAACCATTCTGTCAGTAGATTTAGGTTGTTTCCAGGTTTTTCTGTGATAACATTGCGAAACCTTCTTGGTTCTGTCTCTAAGTGTATGGTATGTGGAAAGGTATTTCTTTTGTGTATTGCTGTGGATTTGTTAAACCCTCTAATGGTTTTTCAGTGGATTCATTTGGATTTCCTAGGTGGAAAATCTTACTGCATGCAAATAACAATTTTATATTATCCTTTTTATTATTTATATGTCTGTTTTCATTTCATGGCTTGTTGTCTAGCTAGAAAGTCCAGTGTACTTGTTGGTTGTAGTAGTGACAATGGGGAATCCTTTTTCTATTATTGGTTGTTAATACAACACCACTGTTCTGGTGTTTTAGTCAGGATTACACATGAGTTTGTCATAGTCATGCCAAGTTACTGATATGCAAGTTAGAGCACTCACAGGGAAAGAACAGGACCCTGAAACTTGGAATGAGAACACCTGCTCAGATTCGGATGAAACTGGCAAATCACTTTAAAGCTCCCTTGGCAGCGGAAGTACCCTGCCCTCCTGTGTCTGAGGACACCGCACTTCCTTTGCCTGAAGATCCTGTGATAACTTCATCTGGGAGGATGCCTTGGAAAGGGTTGCTCGCTCTTCAGACCTGGTACAGTCACCCCTGTGATAACTTCATCTGGGAGGGTGCCTTGGAAAGGGTTGCTTGCTCTTCAGACCTGGTACAGTCACCCCTGTGATAACTTCATCTGGGAGGATGCCTGGGAAAGGGGTCACTCTTCAGACCTGGTACAGTCACCACCCCTGTGATGACTTCATCTGGGAGGATGCCTGGGAAAGGGTTGCTCGCTCTTCAGACCTGGTACAGTCACCACCCCTGTGATAACTTCATCTGGGAGGGTGCCTTGGAAAGGGTTGCTCTTCAGACCTGGTACAGTCACCACCCCTGTGATAACTTCATCTGGGAGGGTGCCTTGGAAAGGGTTGCTTGCTCTTCAGACCTGGTACAGTCACCCCTGTGATAACTTCATCTGGGAGGATGCCTGGGAAAGGGGTCACTCTTCAGACGTGGTACAGTCACCCCTGTGATAACTTCATCTGGGAGGGTGCCTTGGAAAGGGTTGCTCTTCAGACCTGGTACAGTCACCCCTGTGATAACTTCATCTGGGAGGATGCCTGGGAAAGGGGTCACTCTTCAGACGTGGTACAGTCACCCCTGTGATAACTTCATCTGGGAGGATGCCTTGGAAAGGGTTGCTCTTCAGACCTGGTACAGTCACCCCTGTGATAACTTCATCTGGGAGGATGCCTGGGAAAGGGGTCACTCTTCAGACCTGGTACATTCACCCCTGTGATAACTTCATCTGGGAGGGTGCCTTGGAAAGGGATCGCTCTTCAGACCTGGTACAGTCACCCCTGTGATAACTTCATCTGGGAGGATGCCTTGGAAAGGGCTCACTGTTCAGACCTGGTACAGTCACCCCTGTGATAACTTCATCTGGGAGGATGCCTTGGAAAGGGTTGCTCGCTCTTCACACCTGGTACAGTCACCACCCCTGTGATAACTTCATCTGGGAGGATGCCTGGGAAAGGGTTGCTCTTCAGACCTGGTACAGTCACCCCTGTGATAACTTCATCTGGGAGGATGCCTGGGAAAGGGGTCACTCTTCAGACGTGGTACAGTCACCCCTGTGATAACTTCATCTGGGAGGGTGCCTTGGAAAGGGTTGCTCTTCAGACCTGGTACAGTCACCCCTGTGATAACTTCATCTGGGAGGATGCCTTGGAAAGGGTTGCTCTTCAGACCTGGTACAGTCACCCCTGTGATAACTTCATCTGGGAGGATGCCTTGGAAACGGCTCACTCTTCAGACCTGGTACAGTCACCCCTGTTGTCACTGGATCCATAACTAGGGTCAAATCTTAGCATGTTACAGTGGGACATAAAACTCAGATAACTAACTCAGAAGGAAATCACTTACACACCAAAAGAATGGTAAGATTTTGCTAATAAATATTGGAAGAAACCTGGGAAACATGTCGAGTTGATTCTAAGAGTGTTAGATCCAACAGGGTAGGCTATCACACTCCATTT
Source organism: Homo sapiens (assembly GCF_000001405.40). Taxonomy (NCBI): domain Eukaryota; kingdom Metazoa; phylum Chordata; class Mammalia; order Primates; family Hominidae; genus Homo; species Homo sapiens. The sequence continues at coordinate 197,907,478 of NC_000003.12, read as the reverse complement.
GTTTAATTCATTGATATAGATGCACTTACCAGAGAGTCTGGATTTCATGGTTTAGCTTGAGCAGCAGGAGGTGACTCAACATTTGCCTACATTTGATGAGGTGGAGATGTCAGAGCTTCCCTGCTATGATTTGGGGGAGAGAATCCAAAGATGTAGGGAGACAGGAATGTCACAGTGGATTTATCATGTGTGACTTACACGTCTACCACCAAGCACCCATTCCTAACCATGAGAAGGCCCAGAAGACACTTCTTTACTAAGACATTGAGAAATAGAATAGTGAGGGGAGCATCTGCCTCTCTAAAAGCTCTGTGCTTGCTTTCCTACATAGGCAGGTGTGACCCTAAGGATGTTGTCATTGAGATGAGCTTCCTGGTATCAGTGGGGTGATGGGATCCTGAAGTGCCTCCGGATAATTGGGAGCACTTAATTGTCAGAGATAAGGTGGGCACATTTACCACGAAGGGCGGCAGAGATGTAATCAGAATGCCTTTGGCCACTGGGATTCTTGGCAATGGCTAATGAATGATGGTATCTCTAGGAACAAAATTGTTGGGCTGCCTACTCAAGTATAACAGAAAAAAATTCTGGGTCTGGTAGCCAGAAACCTGATTTGAATCACCACAGCAGAGAGTCACGGCCTCTCCCCTAGCTCTTAGGACTGAGTCAGTTCACAGCCCCAGGGCCCCTTTATGAACTGGGGTGTGAGGGTGTGGGGGGATTTCCCCCAAAGAATGAACTCTGCAGCCCTGCTGCAAGTACCTACTGTAAGTCTCCCTCTAGGCCCTACTCAGAAGACCTGTGCTATTTACAGAGTGACTGTGCACTGGGGAAAGCAAACTACCCAGGCCTTCTGAGATGACTGAAGCATTGGCTCTGAATTGATGTTCATGCACGGGGACCCAAAGTGACAGCGTGGCCACTAGTCAAAATGGGAGATTAATGGTGGTTAGGTGACAGATACCTTACTAAAAGTTTTTTTTGTTGTTTTGTTTTGTTTTCCTAATCTGGATGCGTACTCAATTAGGGAAAAAAAAAAAAGAAAAACAGTTTTTTTGTCCATTGAGTTATTTTTTCTCCTTTAATATGTTAATAAAGTAGAATACATTGAGAGAGTTGCTGATTTGAGTCATCTTTAAATTCCTGGGATAAACCCTACTAGGTCATAACGTGTTTGGCCAGCAGGAATCCTCCTGCGCGGTCTCAGTAAAACGTGTGGGTGGACAAGTGCGGCCGGGTGTCCCACCCACATACCGCTGGCAGCCGCACTCTGGTGACCGGACAGTGAGACGCCCTCCTGTCGTGTGCCTCCAGCGCCCTCTACTGACACAGCTTAGCATTTTGTCAGCTGGCAAGAAAAACGTTCACAGCAAGCATCCACTTTCACAAAGCAAAGAGGTGGATTTGGAGCTGACAGGCAGTAAATTGGTAACTGCCACAAATGAGTTTTTTTTTTTTTAATCATCAACTGTGAGATTTACTCTGTAGGTTTCTGGTAGACAAGCTTTATCAACTTCAGGAAGTATCTTTTTTTCTTGTTAAAAGTTTTTCTTCTCATCAGGATGAGTACTCAATTTTGAGATGGATTTTTTTTTCATTAATTGAGATGATATTGTTTTCTCTTCTTTAATATGTTAATAAAGGGAAATACATTAATAGACTTGCTGATGTTGAGTCATCTTCAAATTCTTGGGATAAACCTTACTCGATCATAATGTGTTATTCCTTTTTTTTTTCTTCTGAGATTGGAATTTTGTTCTTGTTGCCCAGTGGCACGATCTCAGCTCACCGCAGCCTCCGCCTCCCGAGTTCAAGTGATTCTCCTGCCTCAGCCTCCCGAGTAGCTGGGATTACAGGCGCCTGCCACCATGCCTGGGTAATTTTGTATTTTTTTTAGTGGAGACAGGGTTTCTTATGTTGGTCAGGCTGGTCTCAAACTCCTGACCTCAGGTGATCCACCCGCCTCAGCCTCCCGAAGTGCTGAGATTACAGGTGTGAGCCATCACACCCGGCCTGTTATTCCTTTAATAGACTGCTGAAAAACTGATTTATAGACTTAAAATTGTTTCTATTTTAAACTCTTTTCTTTTTCTAATTTTTAATTTTTGTGGGCACATAGTAGGTGTATATACTTATGGAGTGCATGACGTACTTTGATACAGGCGTGTGACACGTGGGAGTCACATCAGGGGAATTGGGGTCTCCATCACCTTGAGCCTTTATCCTTTGTGCTACAAATGATCTCATTACACGCGTTTGGTTCTTTTTAAATTTACAATTAAATTATTGACTATGGTCGCCCTGTTTTGCTACCAAATGCTGGGTCTTATTCATTCTTTCTACTTTTTTGTACACATTAACCATCCCCACACCCTCCGCATCCCCCACTACCTTCCCAGCTTCTGGTAACCACCCTTCTACTCTCGACCTCCATGAGTTCAATTGTTTTAATTTTTAGCTCTCACAAAGAAGAACATGTGAAGTTTGTCTTCCCCTGCCTGGTTTATTTCACTTAACATAATGACCTCAGTTCCATCTATATTGTTGCAAATGACACAATCTCATTCTGGGCCGAATAGTACGCCATTGTTTATATGTCCCACCTTTTTAAATTTATTTATTTATTTACTCCTTTTTGAGAGGGAGTCTTGCTCTGTTGCCCACAATCTTGGCTCACTGCAATCTCTGCCTCCCAGGTTCAAGCAATTCTCCTGCCTCAGCCTCCCGAGTAGCTGGGACTACAGGTGTGCGCCACCACGCCCAGCTAATTTTTGTATTTTAGTAAAGATGGGGTTTCTCCATATTGGCCAGGCTGTTCTCAAACTTCTGACCTCAGGTGATCTGCCTCGGCCTCCCAAAGTGCTGGGATTACAGGCATGAGCCACCACGCCCGGCCCCACCTTTTCTTTATCCGTTCGTCTGTTGGTAGACACTTACATTGCTTCCAAATCTTGGCTATTGTGAACAGTGCTGCAATAAACATAGGAGTGCAGACATCTCTTCCACATCTAATTTCCTTTCTTTTGGGTATATACCTAGCAGTGGAATTGCTGGATCATATGGTAGCTCTATTTTTAGTTTTTTGAAGATCCTCCAAACTGTTCTCCATAGTGGTTGTGCTAATTTACATTTCCACCAACCAATACCGTACCAGGATTCCTTTTTCTCCACAGCCTTGCTAGCATTCATTATTGCCTGTCTTTTAGATACACACCATTTTAACTGGGGCGAGATGATGTCTCGTAGTTTTGATTTGCATTTCTCCGATGATCTGTGATGCTGAGCACCTTTCTATATGTCTGTTTGGTGTTTGTGTGTCTTCTTTTCAGAAATGCCTATTCAGATCTTTGGCCCTTTAAAAAAAAAAATATATATATATATATATATATATGTATGTATATATATATGTATGTATATATATATATGTATGTATATATATGTATGTATATATATATGTATGTATATATATATGTATGTATATATATATGTGTGTGTGTATGTATGTATGTATATGTTATACACATAGAGAGAGAGAGAGACAAGATCTCACTATTGTTGCCCAGGCGGGCCTTGAACTCCGAGCTCAAGCATTCCTCCAGCCTAGGCCTCCCAAAGTGCTGGGATTATAGGTGTGAGTGACTACACTCGGCCCTTTTGGCCCATTTTTCACATTATTAGATTTTTTCCTATAGACTTGTTTGAGCTCTTCATATATTCTGTTTATTAAACCCTTGTCATATAGGTAGTTTGCAAATATTTTCTCCAGTTCTTTGGGTTGTCTTTTCACTTTAATTGTTTTGTTTGCTATGCAGAAGCCTTTTATATTTTATATATTTATTTATTGAGACAGAGTCTTGCTCTCTCGCCCAAGCTGGAGTGTAGTGGCACAATCTTGGCTCACTGCGACCTCCGCCTCCTGGGTTCAAGAGATTCTCGTGCCTCAGCCTCCCAAGTAGCTGGGACTACAGGAGTGCACTGCCATGCCCGGCTAATTTTTGTATTTTTAGTAGAGGTGGGGTTTCACCTCTGGCCTTGAAGTCCTGGCCTCAAGTGATCCACCTGCCTCAGCCTCCCATAGTGCTGGGATTACAGGTGTGAGCCACCACACCTGGCCTGTGCAGAAGCTTTTTAACTTGATATGATCCATTTGTTCATTTTTGCTTTGGTTGCTCGTGCTTGTGGGGTATTACTCAAGAAATCTTTGCCCAGTCCAATGTCCTGGAGAGTTTCCCCAGTGTTTTCTTTTAGTAGTTTCATAGTTTGAGGTCTTAAGTTTAACTCTTTAACCAATTTTGATTTGATTTTTGTAAATGGTGAGAGATAGCTGTCTAGTCTAGTTTCATTCTTCTGCATATGGATATTCAGTTTTCCCAGCACCATTCATTGAAAGGACTATCCTTTCCCCAGTGTTTGTTCTTGGTACCTTTGTCAAAAATGAATTCAGTGTAGATTTATTGATTTGCTTCTGGGTTCTCTATTCTGTTCCATTGGTCTATGTGTCTGTTTTTATTCCAGTACCATGCTGTTTTGGTTACTATAGCTCTATAGTATAATTTCAAATCAGGTAATGTGATTCTTCCAGTTTATTTTTACTCAGGATAGCTTTGGCTATTCTGGGTCTTTTGTGGTTCCATATAAATTTTAGGATTGTTTTTCTATTGCTGTGAAGAATGTCATTGGTATTTTGATAGGGAGTGCATTGAATCTGTGGATTGCTTTGGGTAGTAATGTACATTTTAACAATATTGATTCTTCCAATCCATGAACATGGAATATCTTTCCATTTCTTTTATCCTTTTTTCTTTTGTCTTTCCTGTGTATTTTCAAATAGCCTGTCTTCAGGCTCACGAAGTCCTTCTTCTGCTTGATCACTTCTGCTCTTGAGACTCTGATGCCTTCTTCAATATGTCAATTGCATTTTTCAACTCAAGAGTTTCTGCTTCTTTTTAATTATTTCAATCTCTGTTAAGTTTATCTGATAGATTTCTGAATTGTTTCTCTGTGTTATCTTGAATTTCTTTGAGTTTCCTCAAAATGGCTATTTTGAATTCTCTGTCTAAAACGTCACATATCTTTGTTTCTCCACGATTAGTCCCTGGTGCTTTATTTCATTTGTTTGGTGAGGTCATGTTTTCCTGAATGGTCTTGATGCTTCTGGATGTTCATCGGTATATGGGCATTGACGAATTACGTATTCATTGTAGTCCTTGCAGTCTGGGTTTATTTGTACTCATCCTTCTTGCAAAGGCTTTCTAGGCATACGAAGGGACTTGAGTGTTGTGGTCTAAGCCGTACCTCATTAGGGAACACTCCAAGCCCCTAATTCTGTGGTTCATGCAGACATGTAGAGGTATCACCTTGGTGGTCTTAAATAAGATCCAGAAGAATTTTCTGGATTGCCAGGGAGAGACTCTTGTTCTTTTTCCTTACTTTCTCCCAGAGTCTCTAACTCTTTGCTGAGCTACCTGGAGCTGAGAATGGGGTGACACAAGCCCCCTGGTGACCACCACCACTGGGACTGTGCTAGGTCATACCTGAAGCCAGCACAGCACCTGGTCTCACCCAAGGCTGTAACCACTACCTGGCTACCACCTATGTTCACTCAAGGCCCTAGGACTCTACAATCAGCAGGTGGCGAAATCAGCCAGGCTTGTATCCTTCCCTTCAGAGTGGCCAGTCCCCCCAGGCCCTGGGCGGGTCCAGAGATGCTGTCTGGGAGCCAAGAGCTGGAGTCAAAAACCTTAGAAGTCTACCTTATGCTCTAAACTCCTGCAGCTAAGCTGGCCTTCAAGCCACAAGACAAAGTCCTTCCTCCTCTTCCATCTGCTTTCCACATGCGGAGGAGCCGCTGCTCATGGCCACTACTACCACAGGCCCATGGAGAGTGCCGCCAGGCTACTGCTGATGTTCAGCTAAGGCCCAAGGACTCTCCAGTCAGTTTGTGGTGAATGCTGCCAGGCCTGGGACTTACTCTTCAGGGGAGTGGGCTACCCTCTTGCCCAGAACAGGACCAGAAATGCCATCCAAGAGTCAAGGCCTTGGGCCGGGGGCGGTGGCTCATGCCTATAATCCCAGCGCTTTGAGAGGCTGAGAGGGGTGGATCACCTGGGGTCGTGAGTTTGAGACCAACCTGGCTAACATGGTGAAACCTGGTCTCTACTAAAAATACAGACATTAGCCGGGCATGGTGGCAAGTGCCTGTAATGCCAGCTACTTGGAGGCTGAGGCAGGAGACTCGCTTGAACCCCAGAGGTGGAGGTTGCAGTGAGCCAAGATCGTGCCACTGCACTCCAGCCTGGGTAACAGAGTGAGACTCCATCTCAAAAAAAAGAGTCAAGGCCTGAACTGGGGACTCCAAGAGCCTCTTGGTACTCTACCCCATTATAGTTGAGGTGGTACCTAGGGTGTAAGACAGAGTCCCCTTTTACTTTTTCCTCTGCTTTTCTCAAGCAGGAGTCTCTCACCATAGCCACTACCATGTCTTCGAAGGCAGCACATCTCAAGAGTCTCACCCAAGGCCCATGGTGTACCCCTGTGGACCCCTGCTGGTTATTCAGGGCCCGGGGGCTCTTTCGTCAGTAGATGATGAATCCTGCCAGGACTGGGCCCTCCCCTACAAGGCAGTGGGTTCCCTTCTGGCCCAAGGTGTGTCTAGGAAGGCCACCCAGGAGCTAAGGCCTGGAGTGGGGGCCTCATGACTCTGCCCAGAGCCCTATTCTGCTGTGGCTGAGCTGGTATCCTCTGCCCAGTGCCCTATTCTACTGCGGCTGAGCTGGTATCCTCTGCCCAGAGCCTTGTTCTGCTGTGGCTGAGCTGGTATCCTCTGCCCAGTGCCCTATTCTACTGTGGCTGAGCTGGTATCCTCTGCCGAGTGCCCTGTTCTGCTGTGGCTGAGCTGGTATCCTCTGCCCAGAGCCTTGTTCTGCTGTGGCTGAGCTGGTGTCCTCTGCTGAGTGCCCTGTTCTGCTGTGGCTGAGCTGCTATCCTCTGCCCAGTGCCTTGTTCTGCTGTGGCTGAGCTGGTGTCCTCTGCCCAGTGCTCTATTCTGCTGTGGCTGAGCTGGTATCCAAGATGCAAGACAAAGTCCTCTGTACTCTTCCCTCTCCTCAAACAGAAGAAGGGGAAATCTCTTTTAGAGGCTGCACTGCCTGAGGTTGGGGGATGGGTGACACAAGCACTCCCTTAACCACCATGGCTGGTGTCTCACTAGGTCCAAGTCCCCCAAGTCCACAGGCACCAGGACCAGGGCTTGCGTAAGGGTTGTAGAGGGTCGTAGTCCTCCTGGCCTAGACCGCCTTTCAAGTGTATTGAGGACCCCAGAGCGGCGTAGCCCGAGATGCTGAGGCTTGCTGGGACTCGGGTCCCACTGCTAGGCTGGGCGGTTCTCCTCTGGCTGGGGCTGGTCTCAGTGCTCCCTCCATGGGTGGGCGTCACCCGAGTTCAACCCGGTTTTGCTTTTTCCACTGTGACGGCAGCACTGAGTTCAATGCACATCTCAGGTGCCGCGCCCGCCCTCCCACAGCTGCTCAGATCCTACCCGTGCCGTGTGGCTGCTGCCAGGGGGTGGAGAGTGTCGTCAGCAATTCAAAGCCGTCTTTCCTACCCTCTTCAGTGCCTCTTTCAGCAAAACGAAGTTAAAACCAGGTACTGCGATTGCTTACCTGATTTTTGGTTCTTATGAAGGTGCTTTTTTGTACAGATAGTTGTCAAATTTAGTGTTTCTGGGTGGTGGGGGGAACTATCAGTGGAGGCTTCTATTTCGCCCTCTCACTCTGCACAGCCTCTGCTGCATTTTCTTTCTACTGATTTTCATTTTTCTTTTTTTCCTTTTGATATCTTATCTCTCCCTTATTTTGTGTTGTCTTGTGGCATTCTTGGGTAAACACAAGATCAATACCATGGATTTTTAAAATTTTTCTTTGAGACAGGGGTTCTCACTGTGTTGCCCAGGCTGGTCTTAAACTCCTGGGCTCAAGCAATCCTCCCACCTCAGCCTCCAAGGAGCTGGGATTCTAGGTACCTGCCGCCACAGCCAGCCTAGACTTTTACTTTGTGTTTATATATTCCACAAGTGAGATTAACCTGTAGGTGTATTTTTTGGTGCTGCTTTGTTGAATTGCTGTCAGAGTTATGCTTGGCAGCGTGAATTGGAAGCTTTCCATCTTTTTATGCTCTGAAACATAAAAACAGAAAACAAACCAGATTATTATTATGATTTTATTTTTTAGCTAATGCCTTCTTCAGTGAAAACATTATCTATTCCTTGAAGCTTGATAAAATTCAATCATAAACAATTTTGTCTGGTTATATTTAATTGGAGCTATTTGGCTACCTTTTCAACTGTAAAAAAAGGATTATTGATCTTTTATCTCTTTATGAGTCTTTTTTGTAACTTACGTCTCCCTAGAAAATAATCTGTTTCATCTAAACACTGATTTCAAATTTATTAGCATAAAGCTATGCCCTATAGTTTTTTTTACAATTTTAAAAAGTCCTTTATTTCTGTAGTAATGAAATCATTTTCATTAACTTTTTAAAAAGATGTGCCTTCTTTCCTTTTTTCTTACTGAAACTTGTTGAAGGTTTGACCATTTTATTGATCTTTACAAAAACACCATCTGATATGGTTTGGTTCTGTGTCCCCACCCAAATCTCACCTTGAATTGTAATGATCCCCACATGTCAAGGGCGAGACCAGGTGGAGATCATTGAATCATGGGTTGGTTTCCCTCATGCTGTTCTCGTGATAGTGAGTGAGTTCTCACAAGATCTGATGGTTTTATAAGGGGCTTCCTCCTTCGCTCGGCACTCGTTCTCTCTCCTGCCATGATTGTAAGTTTCCTGAGGCCTCTCCAGGCATGCTGAACTGTGAGTCAGTTAAAGCTCTTTCCTTTATAAATTACCCAGTCTCCGATATGCCTTTATCAGCAGTATGAGAACAGACTAATACACCATCTTTTGCTTTTCTTGAGCAAATCTGCTTTTTCTCTACCACACTGGTTTTTGTTTTGAGTAATTTTCTTGCACTTTCTTTGAGTTTATGTTGCTAATCTGTCTAGTTTCCTAAATGTTCAATTCATTTATTTTCACTTTTTTATTTTCTAGTAAATGCATGTAAACCAATATATTTTCTGAGTACTATTTGGCTGTAATTTACAGGATCTGATATATAATGCTTACATTGTCATTCCTTTCCAAATGATTTTTAGTTTATAATTTGTTATTTCCTTTGTAACTCAAGAATTATTTAAAAGGGTGTTTCTTAAATGTCTGGGTACTTGGAGGAGGTGAGGGAAGAGCGTAGGCTTCCTATTCCTCACAACAGCCCCGTCACTGGAGGTTCTATTCTTACTGTCTTGCATTGTGGTCTCAGAATGTGAAATGTAAGATTTATGCTTGGCTGGGCACAGTGGCTCATGCCTGTGATCCCAGCACTTTGGGAGGCCGAGGCAGGTGGATCACGAGGTCAGGAGATCGAGACCATCCTGGCTAATATGGTGAAAGCTCGTCTCTACTAAAAATACAAAAAAAAAAAAAAAAATTAGCTGGGCGTGGTGGCGGGTGCCTGTAGTCCCAGCTACTCGGGAGGCTGAGGCAGGAGAATGGCATGAACCCGGGAGGCGGAGCTTCAGTGAGCAGAGATTGGGCCACCGCACTCCAGCCTGGGCGACAGAGCGAGACTCTGTCTCAAAAAAAAAAAAAAAAAAAGGTTTATGCTTGTTGGAATTTGTCAAGCTCTTATTCGGATTTATGGTTATGGTCAGACTATGTAAATATTCCATGGGTGCTTGAAACAGTGTGCAATCTCTGTTACAGACAATATTTTATAAATGTCTATTAGTCTAGCTGTCAGATTTTTCATTTTGTTACTTATTTTGGCTTACCTGACCTATTAATTTCAGAGATGTGTGATAGTTTCCTAAGATGATTGTGGATCTGTTAATATCTTGTACAGAAATTATTTCTAATAATGTTTGCTTTATATATATTCTAAAATATGTTATTACAACATAAAAGTTCCATCAGCAGCTATCTTGGGCCTGAGGCAAATATAAATAAACAGAACCAAAAAAAGAATATAGCGGTTCATAATTGTAATATCTAGAATTTGTCTTTTATTAGTATAAAATATCCCTTGTCTCTCTTAATTATATTTGGCTTGATTGATTTATATTTTGCCAGATATTAATTGTCAAACCTGCTTTCCTTTTGCTCTGGTTGTTTTATCTCTTTTTGAGTCTTTTTTGTAACTTACGTCTTCCTAGAAGATAATCCATTTCATCTAAACACTGATTTCAAATTTATTAGCATAAAGCTATACTGTATAGTTTTTTTTTTACAATTTTAAAAAGTCCTTTATTTCTGTAGTAATGAAATATTTTTCATTAACTTTTTAAAAAGATGTGTCTTCTTTCCTTTTTTCTTACTGAAACTTATTAAAGGTTTGACCATTTTATTGATCTTTACAAAAACACCATCTGACATGGTTCGGTTCAGTGTCCCCACCCAAATCTCACCTTGAATTGCAATAATCCCCACATGTCAAGGGCATGTAGTTCTCTAAGTAGTTCATAGCTGGATTTTTTTTGAAGGGGAAAGAAGTTTTTCTTTCAGAGGGTAGTACAGTGGGCTCAATTTTTACATCACCCAAATCCATATGTTGAAATCCAAATTCCCAAGGTGATAGAGGGTGAAACTCTAATGAATAAGATTAGTGCCCTTAAAAAAGAGACCTCAGAGAAATCCCTTTCCCATTCCGCCAAGTGAAGTTACAGCACAGAGATGGCAGTCTAGGAAGCAGGCACTCACCAGACACGGGATTTGCCAGTGCCTTCATTTGGGACTTCCCAGCCTCCAGAACTGTGACAAATCAATTTGTTTATGAGCCGCCCAGTCTCTGGCATTCTGTTATAGCAGCTGGAATGGACTAAGACAAAAGGATTTACCCCAGCTTACTTTTATTGTGATTTTTCATTTGTTTGTAATTAATTTATATACTTTATTTTGTTTCCTTCTTTTCTTGGATTGATAGAATTTTTGTTGTTCAATTTTTTGCCAAACTCTAGTTATTTGCATGCCATTCTCATAGTTTTGTAATATCTGTATACCACCTGTTACTTATTAATTTTTTTTTTTTAACGGAGTTTTGCTCTTGTTGCCCAGGCTGGAGTGCAATGGTGCGATCTTGGCTCACCACAACCTCCGCCTCCTGGGTTCAAGCATTTCTCCTGCCTCAGCCTCCAAAGTAGCTGGGATTATAGGCATGTGCTGCCACGCCCAGCTAGTTTTTTGTATTTTAGTAGAGACGGGGTTTCTCCATGTTGGTCAGGCTGGTCTCAAACTCCCAACCTCAGGTGATCTGCCCGCCTTGGCCTCCCAAAGTGCTGGCATTACAGGTGTGAGCCACTGCGCCCAGCCTTTTTTTTTTTTTTTTAACTTTTCATTTTTTTTCTGACAATGCATCCCAGTTGCAGTAATTACTTAATTTTTTTTTTTTTTTTTTTGAGACAGGGTCTTGTTCTGTTGCCCAGGCTGGAGTGCAATGGTGCAATCTCAGTTCACTGCAACCTCCGCATCCTGGGCTCAAGTGATCCTCTTGCCTCAGCCTCCCAAGTAGCTGGAACTACAAATGCATGCTACCGTGCCTGGCTAATTTTCCTATGTTTTGTAGCGATGGGGTTTTGCCATGTTGCCAAGGCTGATCTCAAACTCCTGGACTCAAGTAATCCACCTGCTCGGCCTCCCAAAGTGCTGGCTGGGATTATAGTGTGAGCCACGGCACCCGGTCAATATTTTCTACCTAAATACTCACCTAAACAGATAAATCAATTCATTTTAAATTAAGATTTTTATATCATTACTATAAAAGGAAAAACCAGTATCACCTTCCATAAATAGAAATTAGTATAAATAGGCTGGGCATGGTGCCTCACACTTGTAATCCCAGCAATTTGGGAGGCTGAAGTGGGTGGATCGCTTGGGAGTTTGAGATCAGCCTGGGCAACATAATGAGACCCCATCACTACCAAAAAATACAAGAAAGTAGCCGGACATGGTGTTGCACACCTGTAGTCCCAGCTGCTGAGAAGGCTGAGATGGGAGGATGACTTGAGCCCTGGAGGTGGAGGCTGCAGTGAACTAAGATTGTGCCATTGTACTCCAGCCTGGGTGACAGATCCAGACCTTATCTCAAAGTAAATAAATAAATAAAATAATGTAAATAGAATTGCAAAAAATACCAAATGATGTTATTACCTTGTAGCCAGACCTTTTTGCCTGTCTGGAGCCTGTTCCCTCTTTGTTTTTTTTGTTTGTTTGTTTTTGTTTTTAAGTGTTAACAAGAGGAAGAAAGAGAAGATGTAAGAGATGTGACAGCACCAAACTGACATGTTGTTCTAACATAATCAGATTTTTTTTTTTAAGAGACTGGGTTTCATTCCATTGCCCAGGCTGGAGTGCAGTGGCGTAATCATAGCTCACTGCACCCTCAAATCCTGGGCTGAAGTAATCACCCTGCCTCGGCTCTGAGTAGCTGGGACCACAGGCGCCACCACACCTGGCTAATTAAAAACATTTTTGTAGAGATGGGGTCTCACTATGTTGCTCAGGGTGGCCTCAAACTCCTGGCCTCAAGCAGTCCTCCCACCTCTGCCTTCCAAACTGCTGGGATTACAGGCACAAGCCACCCCGCTCAGTGTAATCGCAATGATTGACTATAGCCATGTTTTTAAAAAATTCTATGCTATGTGCCACCTAAGGAACTTCTCAATGTTTCACTCTTGAGGTGCATCGTCCCCGAGTCTGAAAGTTACACATTTCTGTTCTTTTAGGGGTAACCTTTAAATTTTTTGTTTCTAGAAAGTACACAAATATGGAATGCTTCACGAATCTGTGTGTCACTCTTGCGCAGGAGCCATGCTAATCATCTCTGTATTGTTCCAATTTTGGTATATATGTTACTGAAGTGAGCACAACTCTTAAAATGTTAACATATATTTTTATACTTTTAGAATTTCTCTGTCGAGAGTTAGTCAATGTTTATACCTTCTTTTGCCTTTATTAAGGCAAAGAGACTTCACTTACCTCTTCTCTCGCTCTTCATCCCATGTTGAAGTCATTCACTTTATATGTAAATATATATAGTGATAATATATATGCAGATATTATGTATATATATGCGCATTGTGGGTGGACTTCACAAGGATTATTTCAGCATCACAACAACCCTCTGAGGTTTGTACTATGACTGTAATAGTAATACTGTATTATTGGCTAGGTATAGAATTTTATATATGAGGGAACCAGAAGCTTAGAGAATTTAAGTAAACTTTCTTTCAGTGCCAGAGTTGTGCTCTTTCAACTAGACTATCCTGCCTACTTTGGGATTTTAATTCTGAATTATGATTTATGATTAAAAACTATCACATAGCTTAAATACATGTTTTACTGGTTCTCTTCCATTTCTTAATATATCTCTTTCATTTTATTTTGCTACAGTAGTACATCCTTGAATAACTCTCTCAGAAATATTGAGTATAGTCTTTCTTTCCTTTACATTTGAATGCTGGGTTGGCTATGTGTAGAATCTTTGATTCACATTCACTTGCTTTTCTTTCTTTTTCTTTTTTTTTGAGACGGAGTCTCACTCTGTCACCCAGGCTAGAGTGCTGTGGCGCAATCTTGGCTCACCGCAACCTCTGTCTCCCGGGTTCAAGAGATTCTCCTGCCTCAGCCTCCCGAGTAGCTGGGATTACAGGTGCCGGCTACCATGCCTGGCTTTTTTTTTTTTTTGTAGTTTTAGTAGAGGCAGGGTTTCACCGTGTTAGCCAGGATGGTCTCGATCTCCTGACTCTGTGATCTGCCCACCTCGGCCTCCCAAAGTGCTGGGATTCCAGACGTGAGCCACTGCGCCCGGCCCTACATTCATTTTCTTTTAGAATTTTGAATACATTGTATCCTTCTTGACTAGGATTTAGTGCTGTCAATCAAAGAGAGATCCGATGCTATTCCTTATCCTTCAGACTTTTCTACATACCTTTTGTTTCCTCTTCATTGCAACTTCCCTTATCCAGACATCTAGATTACCCTCCTCCCCCTATTTTTTTTTTTTTTTTTTTTTTTGAGACGGAGTTTTGCTATTATTGCCCAGGCTGGAGTGCAATGGCGCGATCTGGGCTTACCGCAACCTCCGCCTCCTGGGTTCAAGTGATTCTCCTGCCTCAGCCTCCCTAGTAGCTGGGATTACAGGTATGCGCCACCATGCCCAGCTAATTTTGTATTTTTAGTAGAGACGGGGCTTCTCCACGTTGGTCAGACTGGTCTCGAACTCCTGACCACAGGTGATCCGCCCACTTCAGCCTCCCAAAGTGCTGGGATTACAGGCGTGAGCCACCGCGCCTGGCCCCCTATTTTAAAATTCACTAACATACAAGTAAAATGTGTAAGTACTTAGTGTATAGTTTGATGAACAGTTATGTATACACATTCATGTAACCACCACCTGGATAAAGATACAGAGAACATTTACAGCATCCCAAAGTCCCCCTCACCCCCATTCCCAATCAGAAATCCAACTCTCCACCCAGGTAAGTAACTACTGTTCTGCCTTCTCTCACTATGGAATGTTCTGCTTAATCTTGAAACTCGTATAAGTGGAATCATACAGTATACAGCGTTTTGTGTCTGCTGAATGCCATGTTTTCATGTTCTTTCCAAATAGAAACTTGAGGAGAGGCTGGAGTTCTGGATGGAGAAATACGATAAGGACACAGAAATGAAACAGAATGAACTAAATGCTCTCAAAGCCACAAAGGCCAGTGACTTAGCACACCTTCAAGACCTGGCAAAGATGGTAAGGAAGGAATTAGGGCGCTCACTGAGGACAGAGTGAAAGGAATTAGGGTGCTCACTGAGGAGGGAGTGGAAGGAATTAGGGCACTCACTGAGGAGGGAGTGGAAGGAATCAGGGTGCTCACCGAGGAAGGAGTGGCAAATAGGCCACAGTAGCTGGGTATTGCTATTTGGGGTCAAAAGTAGAGGTGCGCTTATAAGCCACCAGGATTCTTTTTAGATGCTGCTGCTGCTGACGGGGACAGCTGCAGTAGCTAACTTACGTAGTGCCTACTCTGTCCAAGGTGCTACCCACACAGCCCCTTGAGACAGATACTGTGATTATTCTTAGTTTATGACCTCTGGAGAGAGTCAGTGATGATTTCTAACAAGCTTGTGATTATGGTTTCATTATGGAATAAATGCAGAACTTCCTAAATTTCTTTCAAAAGTCAGCTACTGCTGGGCATGGTGGCTAACGCCTATAATCCCAGCACTTTGGGAGGCCGAGGCGAGCAGATCAGTAGAGATCAGGAGTTTGAGACCAGCCTGGGTAACATGGCAAAACCCTATCTCTACTAAAAATACAAAAATTAGCCATGCATGGTGGCACGTGGCTGTAATTCCAGCTATTCAGGAGGCTGAGGCACAAGAATCACTTGAACCCAGAAGGCGGAGGTTGCAGTGAGCCAACACTGCGCCACTGCACTCCAGCCTGGGTGACAGACAGAGTGAGACTCTGTCTCAAAACAAACAAACAAACAAAAAAGACAGCTGACTACTTGTGTATGTACATTCTCCCAAAGTTTAAAAAACAATCCATATTATTTTGAGATCATTGATCACACATTAATTCATATTTCATTTTTTATAAAAGATAGAATTTAAATTTGAATTATTAAAACTGAAAAAGTTTTGGGAACAATTATAAAGTTAATATGTGAATATTTACCATCTAGGAATCTATTACATTTTTTTCTTTGGTTTATCTTTAGATTGAGCATGTTTTATTTTGAAATTTTATATTAAAAGTGCAGGGCTGGCTGGGCTACAGCTTAGCCAAGAGAGTACTATAATAAATGATGAATGTCTATCTTTGCAGATAAGAGAGTATGAACAGGTCATCATTGAAGATCGTATAGAAAAGGAGAGGAGCAAGAAGAAGGTAAAACAGGATCTCTTGGAATTAAAGAGCGTTATAAAGGTAAAGAACCATAATCAGTATCTCGCCACAGCTGGCTTAACACTGAGGAACACAAAAGCATTTCCAATTCATTATCAAACACATCTCAGTATATCAAGGAACTGCAGATCTGAGAAGAAGCATGGACTTTTGTTATTATTAGAATTTGCCAACAGTCCATGGTGCAGGGAGACAGTTAACATAGAAAAGGACGTGCCCCCAGCTCTTCATCTGGGGAAAAAGAGGTGGTTAGCAGCGGAAGCAAAACCTAGGCCAAGAGACGAAATATCAGATTACTATGTCTAACCAAAACCAGCTCTTGACAGAATGATTCTTTTTAATATCCTTCTACTTCTTAAAATCCTGCTTATACATCAGCCCAGACTATCTGCTGGGTTCTGATACAAGCTGCTTAGGTGGGAAGGATAAGCAGCAAGTTAGAAAAAAATAGAGATATTTTAGTTTTATGTGAACTTGTGTGTCTCAGTGATGATGAAACTGGCAGGTCACAGATCACGTGAAATACTCGCAAGCAAAAACTGAAAGCTGGACGGCACCTGTCTGGAGCTGGCCCTTCTCTCTGAAGGTCGAGGCCCTAGTGGGTACACTGTAGTTTGGGTTGTATATTAGGGTGATCTAAAATAGTTAAGTTTTATACCACATTCTGGACCAGGTATCCAGACCCAAAGTTGGGCTTCCCATAAGGAGTCAGATGTGTAAGTAGCAAGTATTTATCAAGTTTCAATGGTGTTTCCCCATAAAACTTGTCAGTATTCCTGAATTTACAACAAACATGTTAAGAACGAGCTGAAGAGCACGTTTGCTTTCTTTTCACTAGTGGATTTGCTTCCAGTCTTTAGGGTTTAGTCTGACTTTAAAGCAGTAGAGACCGTATTGAGAACAACTGTTATCTAAAACCAAGATATTCAAGAAAGCTAACTAAATCTTTTTTAAAAGTACTAGGACAACTGATCTTTTAAGCAATCACTAAAGATATGAAATGCACAAGCAAGCCTATGAAAGTCATCTAGACTTATCTGTGCTTTTCTTTTTTTTTTTTTTGAGACAGCATCTCACTTTGTCACTCAGGCTGGAGTGCAGTGGCGCAATCTCTGCTCACTGCAACCTCTGCTTCCCGGGCTCAAGAGATCCTCCTGCCTCAGCCTCCCAAACAGCTGGGACTATAGGCACAAGCCACCAGGCCTGACTAATTTTTTTTCTTTTTTGTATTTTTGTAGAGACAGGGTCTTGCCATGTTGCCCAGGCTGGTCTCAAACCCTTGAGCTCAAAGTGATCTGCCCACCTCAGCCTCCCAAAGTGCTGGGACTACAGGCATGAGCCACCGCACCTGGCATTATCTGTGCATTTTTGGCCGAGTGCTTTTGCCCTTGGCCCAGGTAACTAACATTCTTTTTGGTTCAAATAGCTGTTAAGTATGGGGAACCTGGACTTTCCTCAAGGAAAGCAGTATAAGGAAGTCAGATTTCTACGGGTGAAGAAAAAATAGGTCAAATCAGATTCCTTTTCTTTATTTTTACTTGAGAACTTCACTCTTGAGTCCATGGCTTAAGCTCCGGGTCCTGCACGACAGGAGAGCATCGCTGAAGTGATTACGTGCCTGGCTACTTCCATGTCCTGGAGAGAGACTGTTTGTCAGACAGAAGTTACTTTATTCAACAGTCCCTTTATGTGGAAAGAATGCAGCTTGTCAGGCATAGCATACGTCGTACTCACTCCCCTTTTCTCTTCCAGCTCCAGGCCTGGTGGCGAGGCACTATGATACGGAGAGAAATTGGTGGTTTCAAGATGCCTAAAGACAAAGTTGATAGCAAGGATTCAAAAGGCAAAGGTAAAGGCAAGGATAAGAGGAGAGGCAAGAAGAAGTGACCAAGTTCTCTTTTGTGTTTTCTGCTGGTATTCTGGAGGTGGGAAGGACTTGGAGAGAGTTAAGAAACACCTGGTACCTCAAAGATGACTCATCTACAGGTTGTTTCCTATTGAGACTTTCCCAGGGAAGCCTGATTTCACTTTGCCTGTTAATTTCACTCTGCCTGTTAGGTGGGTTTTCAAACCCTGATTTAGGATTACACCATTGACTTAGGGCTTCCTCATACCTTGCTGGGAAGAAGTTTCTAGTAGTCCTGTGAAGATTCATTCTTCTTGCTCTTTCTCAGCAGAACAAAGGAGTTCACTGGCTTAGCTACAGTGACGCATTGAAACTTGAGTAATTCCTGTAATGTCAGATTTTGATTTTACCCAATTTGTCTGTAGTGAAAAAACTCTTATGAGCAAAAGTATTCAGTAGGAATTACAATATGATGTTATTAGCTGTCCAGCATAATATATACACAGCAAAGTTTTAATAAATGTTGGTTCCTGCCTGCCTTTTAGATTTATCGTCACTTTGGTGTTTTTATTCAGGTGAAAATGGCATGGAATACATATCCAGTTGTAAGCTGCTTCAGCAACTTTTCTAGGAAACAGGGATACAAATTATAAATACAAGCTAGAAATAGGATGTTAGGATATACAACTTTACAAACTATAAAGATGGGGACACAGGTTCTCTGGAAGGCTAGTTTGGAGATATTTTTGACAAGTGAAACACTAGAGCCACCAATCCCCACTTTATGGAGTGTTAAGATGAAAAGAAATCAGGTGTGTGAAAATATCTAACTTGTGCCTGGCAAATAGGAAAGCTGTCACTCTCCCTCTTCTCCTAGAAAAAAAATGCACCCACCAGATCATGCTTGCCTTGATGAGTCAAAACAATGCCTTGGGATGCTAAAGGTTTCCAAGAGCAAAGTTGTCCTAATGTGTCACATACATTTCATGAATTAAGCCTTCTATCTAACTCCAAATAAAGCTCAGTCTTGATATCTGTACTTCCTTAAAAAATGAATTTGATCTCAAAAGTTTGTCCCGAAGCCCCCATTTCCACTGACATTCCCTCTGGAAATGAGATGCTCTTTCCTTGATTCACCTTTGCCAAGGGAACCACACCTCAGGTATGAACACGCTCCAATCAGCTTTTATTACACGCCACTGAAGTGTTGGCTTTTATTTGAATGTCAATGTGTAAAGTGGCGTACAGGCAATTTAAAATAACATACATGATACTGACATATTTATACTTAGAACTTATGCAATATATTTACAGACAAAAATACAGGACAATGTTTTACAAAATCTTTCACTAATTACATGTTTACAACATTTTCAGAAATAAAACGAAATTTGCTGTAAACCATCTCAACTGCACTGTGTATATAGAAAGGCTTCTAAATATCCATGTTTTCATTTCTATAACCATTTAAGCGCTTAGTTTTTACGAATTCATCAAACTCATTCGCATAGTCACACATCATTAGTCACTGCTGAGCTGTAGAAAGTAAGAGAAATCGCAAACTCCTTGATTAGCTGTATTTTAAAAAGCTCTTCAGAAAAGTGATCTACTACTATGCTCTGTGTTCTAGCAGAATACAAAGGCCCCTCTTTCCATGGGTCGTTTCCAGACCTGGCTATTACAAGAGAACACTGGAGTGCTAAACACAGATTATGAGTCTGAAATACTGGGAAACTGCTGACAGAAAATCTCTGTACGTGGCAAGGGCTCTGCTGGGGGTGGCTCTCAACCCGACACTGTCAGTGATGGGAAGGGCTCTGCTAGGGGGGGCTCTCAGCCCCAGACACTGTCAGTGATGGGAAGGGCTCTGCTGGGGGGCTCTCAGCCCCAGACACTGTCAGTGATGGGAAGGGCTCTGCTGGGGGGCTCTCAGCCCCCAACACTGTCAGTGATGGGAAGGGCTCTGCTAGGGGGGGCTCTCAGCCCCAGACACTGTCAGTGATGGGAAGGGCTCTGCTAGGGGGGCTCTCAGCCCCCAACACTGTCAGTGATGGGAAGGGCTCTGCTGGGGGGCTCTCAGCCGCCAACACTGTTCAGTGATGGGAAGGGCTCTGCTGGGGGGCTCTCAGCCCCCAACACTGTCAGTGATGGGAAGGGCTCTGCTGGGGGGCTCTCAGCCGCCAACACTGTTCAGTGATGGGAAGGGCTCTGCTGGGGGAGCTCTCAGCTGCCGACACACTGTCAGTGATGGGAAGGGCTCTGCTGGGGGGCTCTCAACCCCCAACACTGTCAGTGATGGGAAGGGCTCTGCTTCAGGTCAGGGGAGCTGTGACAAGGTCATCTTCATCTTACACTGGAGTCAAGCAAAGCTAAATGTTAAACCGAATTGTGCTTTCCAATTTAAAAAAAAAAAGGTACATACAAAATACTGAATACAAAAATTCTCCCAACAAAAGCATCATGATTTGTTTTTGCATCTTGACATAAAAAAGAAATTCATACCTTCCTACCTCTGCAGAGGGTTTGAAAAAAGAGAAAAAAAATTCAAAGCATTTGATATTTTTCCTTCAATTATCAGCCAAAACTGCACATGGTTTTTCCTAACAATTCAAATACAAATCTGATTTAGTTTGATAAAAATACATTAATAAGGTTTCATAATATGTGCAAAATTTGAAATAAGTTGAAATTTCCATTTATCCCTATGGGAAAATTAGTTGCAAATGTTGCAAGTATTGCATTATGTAATGTCTTCTAGAATTATTCCTTGCATAGTATATTTTTGGTTTGGTGGGTTTTTTTTTTTTTTTTTTTTTGAGACAGAGTCTCGCTCTGTTGCCCAGGCTGGAGTGCAGTGGCACAATCTCAGCCCACTGCAACCTTCGGCTTCCAGGTTGAAGCGATTCTTGTGCCTCAGCCACCCAAGTAGCTGGGATTACAGGTGCCCACCACCACGCCCAGCTAATTTTTGTATTTTTAGTAGAGACAAGGTTTCACCATGTTGGCCAGGCTGGCTTGCGTATGTTAAAAACAATCCTGTCCTTTGCTGAATTTCATTTCTGGTGGCATATAATTTGGAGACTGTACTGAGGCTTAATGTTGACAAACACAGTTTAAAAATGCACATGGCTAAATTCTAAACAAGTTATATAAGGGTATATAAGAGTTGGTGGGTCTGTTGGGAACTGTAAATATAATGGGGTCTTACATAAAGACATTTTACTTTTGTTCTATAAGATTGGGCATTGAAGTTAGATGTTGTACAATTTATTTTTAGAGATGGGGTCTCACTCTGTTGCCCAGGCTGGAGTGCAGTGGTGCAGCCATGGCTCACTGTAGCCTCAACCTCCCAGGCTCAAGTGATCCTCCCACCCCAGCCTCCTGAGTAGCTGGGAGTACAGGCAGGTGCCACCACACCTGGTTTTTTTTTTTTTTTTTTAATTTTTGGGAGACAGGGTCTTGCTATGTTGCCCAGGCTGCTCTCAAACTCCTGGGCTCAAGTGATCCTCTTGCCTCGGCCTCCCAAAGTGCTGGGATTATAGGCATGAGCCACCATGCCCAGCCTGTTATACAATTTTAAACCTGGTCAAGTGGTAATGTTCTGATGAATTTGTTTCTCTGCAAGAACAAGGAAGAAAACATTACTTTGACCAGGTATTCAACATGATTTGATCCAAAGCTACTTTTAGATGCTACATTTACCTGATAAAAAGAGGGATAACATTATGCCCAAATGGATGCATTGTAAAGAAAATCCAGAACAGTTAACAACTACAGAAACAAAAGAGATATCTTCCGCTTACTTTATTTACTTGTTTTACAAAGGCAGTGAACACCAAAGGATATCACCAACAACTAAAAGGAGTTCAAAATGCAGGGGAAGGAAAACTAGCTGAAACTTGAGTAAAGGCTCCTGTGCGGTGTGAGCCCTTGGGCCCTTTTCCTCCACCCATCATTGAGTATATAAAGGCGCTTGTGGTGGAGCGAGATGGGGCGCGTTTTCTTTTTTTGAGATGGAATTTCGCTTTTGTTGCCCAGGCTGGGGTGCAATGGCACGATCTTGGCTCACCACAACCTCCGCCTCCTGGGTTCAAGCAATTCTCCTGCCTCAGCCTCCCGAGTAGCTGGGATTACAGGCATGCACCACCACGCCCAGCTAATTTTGTATTTTTAGTAGAGACGGGGTTTCTCCATGTTGGTCAGGCTGGTCTCAAACTCCCAACTTCAGGTGATCTGCCCGCCTCAGCCTCCCAAAGTGCTGAGATTACAGGTGTGAGCCACCACACCCAGCTAGGAAGATGCTGTAAGTGCTTAAATTCAGCCACAGAAACTGGCAGTTACCTGAAAGAAATACAAGAAACTAGGCTTTTCCGAGCTAGAAGTGTATGTGCTGTAACTGCAATGTGTCTGCAGGCCCAGATGTCTGAGGAGCAGCAGGAGGGCGGGGAGGGAGGCTCAGTGAGACCAAGTGCGCTATCAGCTTCAGAATTTGGAAACTCTGTATAGAGAGAGGGCTTGTTGTTGATAATGTCTAGATAACGGGGTTTGGAACCTGTGTATAGAGGGCTTGTTGTTTATTATAATGTCCAGATAACAGGATGACATAGAACTATCTTCTATGATGGTATGACTGCAGTTGAAGGGAGGCCTAGAATACTGACCTTAAATACAACTCTATCTGTTTCACTGTTTTACTATGCAAAATCTGGGCCAGGCCCGATGGCTCACTCCAGTAATCCCAGCACTTTGGGAGGCTGAGGCGGGAGGATCAGTTGAGCCCAGGAGTTTCAGACCAGCCTGGGCAATACGGCAAGACCCCAACTCTTAAAAAAAAGAAGACTATGCAAAACCTAGGCCTTCTATATTATTTTTGTTTTGCCTTTGACAGAACAGTCCAACTCCTCATAATATAGCTTTTGATTTTAAATGTGGGTGAAAAATGCAGGGGGCCATTACCCTCCCCCGCAAACATACAAATATCTAGCTTTGAACAGTGGTTCCACTACATGAAAAACACGTGCAATGGGCCGGGCGCCGGGCGCAGTGGCTCACGCCTGTAATCCCAGCACCCTCAGAGGCCGGGCACAGTGGCTCACGCCTGTAATCCCAGCACTCTCGGAGGCCGGGCGCGGGGGCTCACGCCTGTCATCCCAGCACTCTGGGAGGCCGGGCACAGTGGCTCACGCCTGTAATCCCAGCATTTTGGGAGGCCGAGGCAGGTGGATCACTTGAAGTCAGGAGTTTGAGACCAGCCTGGCCAACATGACAAAATCCCATCTCTACTAAAAATACAAGAAAATTAGCCAGGCATGGTGGCGGGCACCTGTTGTCCCAGCTACTCGGGAGGCTGAGGCAGGAGAATCGCTTGAGCCCGGGAGGCGGAGGTTGCAGTGAGCTGAGATTATGCCACTGCACTCTAGCCTGGGCGACTGAGCAGAACTCCTTCTCCAACAAAAACAAAAACATGTGCAATGGTTGTTGAAAATGCAGATTCCTAGGCCTTACCCCAGCTCTACTGAATGTGAATCTGTATTTTAACAAATACTCCAGGAGAGTCTAATGAACAACCAAGTTTAGAAACCAGCAGACCAGTTGTCTTGAGACCAGGTAAAAACAATGGCACAGCATGCTTGTGCCTAACACAGAAGATGTGCTTTCTGGCACGTGAAACACGCCTGCTCTCCAGGAAAACACAGCCAAGTTAGGTGCTGGGTTTTCAGTAAGAGAAGTTTCATCTGAGAAAACCAATGGTGTCTTCGTAAAAAAATTCAATGGAAATGGAAATAACCTCCCCTAAAATGGAGAAATGAAGCAAAATATTCCTGTTAGGAATCATGGGAACGGTCCCTTCTGAGAACACACAAGAGCTTTGTTTAAGCAGACAGCTGGCAGCAGCAATCACGGTGTCCTGTTCCTTGTTTTGGCCAGGCCAGTGCCCACCGTCCTGGGGATCCTCAAACAGCAGATAACTGGTGCTGCTGTTGCTTGGGTGGGGCAAGTTCCAGGAGAGCCTGGACCGTCACTGCAACCTGGCTCAAACCTTTCTCTTCTAAAATGTGGAGAGGCAAACATAATTGCTCCTGAAAGGGACAACGTAACATGAAAACAAACAAAAAAGAAAATCGGATGAATATCATAGAACTGAAAGGAAAAAATAAGCACTTCTCCCCTTCACAATCATCAACTTAGATATGAAAATTAGTACCTGGGAAACTGACCTCAGTGTAAATATGAGTTAGAGAGATGGTGTCTGACACTCACTGTCACTTTATTAATACAACTAAAAGTACATACAGATCATTTTCAAAATTGGAAAATTGACAAGTAGCATATATCTATACATACAACAGAGGGAAAACAATACCGCAGGGTGAAAGCAACATCCTTTATCCCTGATGAATAAAAGGTCAATACAGGTCTATAAAATAGGCAGGTGAAAAATAGAAAAACAATTCCACGCTACCAGATGGCTCAAGAGTAAAAGATACTACACTTGAGGGTAAGTTCCCTACCACAAGAATGAAAGATAGTTTGAAAACATAACTCAGCCTGCATGAGTTCTACGCTATCTGCATTATAATCCTGACTGTGAAAACCAGGGTTTCCAGACCAGATAGGGCAAGAAACTCAGTGTATCCTGAGCTCTTGAGAAACTTCCCCCTAATTTGAATAATTCATGGAAGGGCCTGTCTGAATTAAAAATCTGAATTACAGAATTAAAAGCAGTATTTGAAAATGTAAAGGATTTAATATCCTGGTATTTAACAGCCTGAATTATTCCAGGGAACTACTATGTAAGCTTAGGCAGGAACATGTTGATTACCAACATGTGAGAAGTGTTGACACTGTTTGCTTGAGGAAGTTAAACGCTTCCTTAATGTGTGCATCGTTAATTTGTTAGGTTAACCCTTTCTTGTGAGAGAAAAAGGCAAATCTTAAGAACAGCATTTATCACTAGCTTTCTGTTAAGATTAAATATTCCAAAAAGAAAAGAGATTGCTCTTACAAAGAACAGAATATAGAATTCTGGTGCCACTAAAAAAAGATTATATATGTTTGTTAAAACAACTAGTTGGGTTTTTTTGTTTTTTGTTTTTTGTTTTGCTTTTCATTGAGACGATATTACTAGGAAATTTTATAAAACCAGTTACAATAAAATATATAACAAGTATTTTTGAGGCAGTTATTGGTACTTGTGCTTACTTTTTATTTAATACTTATTTTGATAAAATGAGGTAACTGTAATCTTTTGATCTAAAAAAACTAGCAACTTTGTAGAAATACTTTGAGTGCAACTGCAAGTCTAGATAAATGATACTTAAAATGAACCTGCCCAGTGTTTTGCTGTCGGAAGAGACGTGCTTTCTCCAAGGCTGATTCCCTGGTCTCTTCCTCTCAGCAGCGCCCTAGGACCTGCGCGGCCGGTGTTCACACTCAGAAGCCTGTGCTTTCTGGGGCACCCTCACCTCCCAGCTGGACTAGAGGGAGTGCCGTGTGTTCTCAAGAGAATGTACAATTACAACCCCTAAACCACATGAGAGCCTGTGTGTGTTTTTTAACAGGTGTTTCAACTCTGAGACATCTTAAAAATATAACCAACCCAATTCCCCAAAGTCTGAAAGGCACCTACTGACACAGAAAACTGAAGTTTTCATCATCACAGTGTTGAGTGTTTCAGCATTAATAGTGAACAGTCTTTTGACCTGTGAAAATAGCTGTCCCATTTCATATGGAAGAAAACCAAACCAGTGAGCCCCTCAGGCTGAATTCTACACCCAGATGTTATGCTCCTCCCTCAGGCTGAATTCTAAACCGGATATTATGCTCCTCACAATCTCTCTTCACACTTGAGTTCATCCTTTATCCCAATTTTGTTAACAGAGTTCAGAAGGTTCCTGAATATTCAGAAACACCACTTATGAAACTAGAATCTAACCGCAATTATAGTTTCCAGCATTAACGTCTAGCAGCTAAGTGCTACGCATTCTGAAAGAGCTAGACAATATTCACTGCCTTGAGCACAGAACAGGGACTGCTGCCCTAATACTTCTCCTGCTACTGTTTCACTATTAAGAAGGTTTGAATATGTTAGAAATCACATAAATTCCAAATTTAAACAGAATGCTGGGAGTGAACCTCAGTCACACATAACAAACACAATCTGGAAGGTGCCCACCCTGAGAGGCCAGCTCCAGCCCATCTGCTCGTGTGCAGCACATACAGCGTATAGACTGGGCTCAGAAGAGCAGTCTAGGGAATGTGGGTGATCTTCAAACTGAACATTCTGACCAAACTAAAATTATTAAAATTATGGCCAATACCTTTGAAACGTCCAGACCGCAAATGCTTATATGGACCTGTGCCTACCGACAAAGCGGGGATTCAGGATCTCAGGACACAGTTCAAAGCAGAAATCTAAGTAACCGGGTGCGGCCAAAACCAGAAAAGGCACGACGGTTCTCCTCGTGAGCAGCTGCTGCAAAGGTTCAGTCACTCCACAATTCAACACTTGTGCTGAGGCACGGAAAAATGGCCAGATGGGAGTTGTATTGTGTGACTTGGAAATAAAGCTCTACATGTCATATTCGAAGTACAAGTTCAGAATTGTATTAGTAAAAATGCTTCAGCATTTATGGTAAGAGAAACAAGGCCACAGGCCAGGAGAATGGACGGATGACCAGGAGAAAAAATGCTGGTCTTTTACTCTTTGTTAGCAATCGTAAATGTTTACTAATGTGAGGGGGTGCTCATCTGCAAATATAAAGAAAGGATTTACCTCCTTTATGGGTTAGCTCTTTGAGGGCCAGCAGGGAGAAAAAGCACTTATGTAAATAATTCTGGATGAGAAACAAACCTCCTTTACCAAGCACAGGAATGAGGCAGAAAGTCACCGGAGTGCAATCTTTCAGCGAGCGGGGAAGAGCCAGTAATAAAGCACACAGAGAGTTAACATCACAGTACAGTAAAATGCCACAAAACCCAGAAGCTGCAGAGAGAGACAGACAAAACTGGATTCTTCTGAGTGTGCCCCAAGAGAAAGGAGCGTTTCAACAGTTCTTTTAACGCTGAGGTTTAGCTGAAGGATGTCGGAAGGGGAACAAAGATTGTCCTGTCCAAAGTGTAAGCAGGAAAGGAAAACAGAAAAACAAAGTCAGTGGATCAGAAATGCAGATTTGAGTATAGAATTCATATGATCATCTCAGTCATATTCACATATACACATCCTGTAACATTTTTACATTGAGGAACAAAAATAAAACGCTGAAAACCCAAACTACAAAGAATCTTCTCCATGCTGAGCCTGATCTTACTACTAAATAGCAGAATAAAATTCGTTTGTTGGTGACTGGTCTGAACATTAAGAATACAATACACAGGCCGGGCGCGGTGGCTCACACCTGTAATCCCAGCACTTTGGGAGGCCGAGGCGGGTGGATCACGAGGTCAGGAGATCGAGACCATCCCGGCTAACACGGTGAAACCCCGTCTTTACTAAAAATACAAAAAATTAGCCGGGCGTGGTGGCGGGCGCCTGTAGTCCCAGCTACTCGGGAGGCTGAGGCAGGAGAATGGCGGGAACCCGGGAGGCGGAGCTTGCAGTGAGCCGAGATCGCGCCACCGCACTCCAGCCTGGGTGACAGAGCGAGACTCCGTCTCAAAAAAAAAAAAAAAATACAATACACAGAAGTGGATGTTGGTTTAGGGTCGTGTGAGGCCTGAATGTAGTGAGGTGTGTGTGAAGCAACCTCTTTCCTGACTCATTCTCCTCTATTTAAAAAAAAAAAAAAAGTAGGTCAGAAAGCAAGGACGAAAACTGCAGAGGCTGAGGAGACGGACGTTTTTGGAGAAAGCCATGTACATCAAAAAGGTTCAAAGACTGAGGAAAGCCTCATGATCCGGGGGTAATTTACTACCCAGAAGCCAAATGCATTCAATGACTTGGCATTCCTCTAAAAATCAGAGGGTGTCTGTTTTATTTTATTTTTTTATTTTTTATTTTTTTTGAGACGGAGTCTCGCTGATCTCGGCTCACTGCAAGCTCCGCCTCCCGGGTTCCCGCCATTCTCCCGCCTCAGCCTCCCGAGCAGCTGGGACTACAGGCGCCCGCCACCACGCCCGGCTAATTTTTTGTATTTTTAGTAGAGACGGGGTTTCACCATGTTAGCCAGGATGGTCTCGATCTCCTGACCTCGTGATCCGCCCACCTCGGCCTCCCAAAGTGCTGGGATTACAGGCGTGAGCCACCGCGCCCGGCCAGGGGGTGTCTATTTTAACCAAGTCCAGCTCGAGAATGTGTTCAAAATGAAGGCAGAGCTGTTAAGGGCCTCAGAGATCATCCAAACCCTCCATTTTACAGATTGCAAAATTCATTAAATAAATACAAGAATGGACTTGACAACAGGGAGACAGACATCCTTTAACACATAACATAACGACTCTGGGACAAAAGATACTGGACTCAGATACAAGTTTTTAATCACCCATTACAGTTTTTTTGAATGTAGCATATTGAATAGAAGCATAAAAATAAAGCAAATACCCACATGCCCAATGTCATCAGAGGTTTTTAATAACTGCCTTGTTCTTCAGTATTTCACTCATACTTTAACTTGTACAACACTTTAAAAGTTACACAGAGAAGGGAAATTATTTGTCTTTATCTATCTTACCTGGGTATAGAATCTGACAAAAATATTTGTAATATTGTTTTCTGTTTTACATTTTCAAAAGTGGTCATTATTACATTCCCAATGTTCAAGTCACACAGAGCAAAGTGGGGATGTTTAAGTAAAGGCCAGAATGACCTGGAGACCAGGAGAAAAAGGAAGACGAGGAGGTAGAAGTTTCTTCTCTTCCTCTGGCAGAGGGACCTCAGAAGGCTAGTTTGAACCTACGAGTTTGTGCGTTTATTCATTTTCTTTCACTTTGTTCTAGACAGATGACTAATTTTTCAGCAGAAGTAGCAGCTTGCTAGGAAGCCGTGTAAAACTGGCAGTGGTTGTGGTGGGGACGTGGGTGGGAGGTGGAAGGGGAGAAGGAAGGGGCAGCCTATGGGAACGTCCATTTCCTCTTTCTGGTGACGGAGAAGGAGGGAGGATGCATCAAAACCTCAGCCTAACCACTCTGGAAAAAGACCCAGTCTTTTAAAACTGTATTTTTTTTTTCTTCGTACTTGCCTTCCAACAGCACAGCTCTGGTAGGAACAGGGGCAGGCTGGCCCATAACAAACATGGTCAACCACTGCATGCAAATACCAACTTAAATGTGTATTTTAAGGCACACTGTTTTGTACTTTGTTGGCTGATGGTGGGAACATCCTGAAATAATTCCAAGGTACGGACTTTAAATCTCAGAGACCCTCAGAGGATGCTTCCGAAAGCCCCGCGGACAGGCTTAGACCTTTCAACAGGTTTTGACATCTGGTAAGTCAACATGACTTGCTTGAGTGGGGCCATTTTCAGCACTCTCCTGTCTATTTTGCATTTCCCATTCTCTGCACCAACCCATGCCATACTCTCTTTGTTTAAAGACACTGTGGCAGGGAACTAGAGCAGACACTGGATGTTTGTGTAGCAAGAACCTCTTTAGGAAGCAGAAGGGAAGAACTGGAGGCTAATGTGCACTATTAGAATAAACTTGTTTAAAAGAATGTATGTTATTTCTTCAGAAACCATATTCAGTGCTCTCAAAATATTTAAAAAGGTCTGTTCTAAAAGATGACCCTTTATAAAACAACATAATATAAAAACGAAAATTTTGCTTTCAATTTGTCCATAGGAATCAAAAAGGTGTTTGCTAACTACCACTTTATGTAAATTTCCATTCTTGTATAATTCAGTTAAAAAAAAAACAGCAAAAGAAAAAAGTAAAAAATAAATAATAGAATGATGATCTACTTTCATAAGAGAAAAACAATCCTGGGAATCCTGCTGGCTGACACAGATGATCTGTGGAGCTGGGCGCTCTCTCTTTCACTTTGTAACATGTGATGCTGTGGCCTAGTCAACTCCTGGCTAGTTAGAAAGAGGTGCGGTGAACTGGGTAAAGAGAATCACTGTCATGGGTGCGGTGAGTTGGGTAAAGAGAATCACTGCCATGGGTGCGGTGAGTTGGGTAAAGAGAATCACTGCCATGGGTGCGGTGAGTTGGGTAAAGAGAATCACTGCCATGGGTGCGGTGAGTTGGGTAAAGAGAATCACTGCCATGGGTGCGGTGAACTGGGTAAAGAGAATCACTGCCATGGGTGCGGTGAGTTGGGTAAAGAGAATCACTGCCATGGGTGCGGTGAGTTGGGTAAAGAGAATCACTGCCATGGGTGCGGTGAACTGGGTAAAGAGAATCACTGCCATGGGTGCGGTGAGTTGGGTAAAGAGAATCACTGCCATGGGTGCGGTGAGTTGGGTAAAGAGAATCACTGCCATGGGTGCGGTGAACTGGGTAAAGAGAATCACTGCCATGGGTGCGGTGAGTTGGGTAAAGAGAATCACTGCCATGGGTGCGGTGAGTTGGGTAAAGAGAATCACTGCCATGGGTGCGGTGAGTTGGGTAAAGAGAATCACTGCCATGGGTGCGGTGAGTTGGGTAAAGAGAATCACTGCCATGGGTGCGGTGAGTTGGGTAAAGAGAATCACTGCCATGGGTGCGGTGAGTTGGGTAAAGAGAATCACTGCCATGGGTGCGGTGAGTTGGGTAAAGAGAATCACTGCCATGGGTGCGGTGAGTTGGGTAAAGAGAATCACTGTCATGGGTGCGGTGAGTTGGGTAAAGAGAATCACTGCCATGGGTGCGGTGAGTTGGGTAAAGAGAATCACTGTCATGGAAGCTACAGGAACAGGAACCAAACTCTGAGAGCAATGGTGGAGCTGTTGATGAGCCCCAGGGCCACCCCTGAGTTACTGATACCTAATTAGAAGGTGATAGAGAAGAATCATGTTTTCCTCCTTGCAGGCTATAGACAAAATATGTTAACAAGACTTGTAATGGTCGTGGTTAATGAAAAAGTATCACATGGCACCAAGTCATTTATTTCTTTAAATTTGTCTTTATACCACATAATATTCCTTAATAGTATAATACTTAGTTGGTTTAATATAATTGCTTTTTAAAGGGGTTATTGGATAAGACTGTATCAAGTTCATTTCCCTTAATCGCATCTATAAATAAATTTAACTATTTGTAATATTAAAGGGCAATAAAGTTATAACTGAGCTGGAGGCAATAAATCCTCATAGCAGGACAACAGCTTAGAAATGGCCTGTTGCATGCCAGACTCCAAAGAACCAGAGCTTCATGGAAAAACTGATGAAATCCAAATAAAGCCTGTAATTCAGTTAATCGTATTGTTCTCATGTTACTTAGTTTGAATTACTGTCCTATGTTTGTATTAGACGTTAGTTAACATTAGAAGAAATTGACTGAAGTATACAAAAGGAACTCTAGGCTATTTTTTCAACATTTCTGGAAGTCTAAAACATTTTAAAAAGTATCAAAGCAAGTGTTAGAACACTGAAGCCAACTGCAGCATTCTCAATCTGAGATATACTTAGTTTTTGAAGGATATATTTAGTTGTCAAATAGCAAGTGGGAAAGTTTAGGAAAATAGAATAATTATTTCAAATTACTTATACTTATTTCAATCTATATATTTATAATTTCTTTGTGTGGTCCTTGGAAATAATCAAGGAAAACTGTTCAAAAGTACACTGACTCTTGTAACACAAAGTCATGTTAATTATGATCGACTTAGCTCAGAGCTAGTCCTGTAAGATTTTAGAGATTTACATTTCTAAAATTTTAGGACAACCAAGTCTATTTAGGCAACATAAAAAATGATAAATTTATTACCTGAGGTACACCAATTTTTCTGCAAGCTTCTAGGAAATTTTCCACATTTCGCCTGCATTTCGCCATTGTTAATTTAGGCTGAAATGAGGAAAAGAAAATGTGTTACTAGAGAAGTTTTGTTTCTGGGACAGGGTCTCACTGCCACCCAGGCTGGAGTGCAGTGGCGCAAGCCTGGCTCGCTGTATCATTGACCTCCCAGGCTCAGGTGATCCTCCCACCTCAGCCTCCCAAGTAGCTGGGACTATAGTTGCATGCCATCACACCTGGGCAATTTTTGTAGAGACAGGGTTCGCCACGTTGCCCAGGCTGGTCTTGAATTCCTGAGTTCAAGCAATCTGCCTGCCTCAGCCTCCCAAAGTGCTGGGATCAGAGGCATCAGCTAAATGCCCAGCCTACTAGCAACATTAAAAAATATTTGCTAACTTTAGAAATACTCCTGGCAATCGCTTCATAACTCTCAATGCTGTAGACTAGGGGGTCAGCGAACTTTTTTTTAAAGGATCAGATAATAAATGTTAGTTCTGAGGGCCATAAGAACTGTTGCAATGCCAGGTGCGGTGGCTCACGCCATAATCCCAGCACTTTGGGAGGCTGAGGTGGGCGGATCACCTCAGGTCGGGAGTTCGAGACCAGCCTGACGAACATGGAGAAACCCCGTCTCTACTAATAATACAAAAATTAGCCAGGTGTGGTGGCGGGCACCTGTAATCCCAGCTACTCGGGAGGCTGAGGCACGAGAATCACTTGAACCCGGGAACCCGGGAGGCAGAGGTTGTGGGGAGCTGAGATCGCACCATTGCACTCCTGCCTGGGCAACAAGAACAAAGCTCCATTTCAAAAAAAAAAAAAGAACTGTTGCAACCACTCGAGTCTGCCAGGAGCTTGAAAGCAACTATAGACAATATGCAAACAAGAAAGTGTGACTGGGTTCCAGTGAAACTTGATTTACAAGAAGAAGTGCTGGCCTGTGGGCAGTACTTTGTCACCCCACACTTGAGACATTGGCTTTGATTTTGGAAGGCAAGTACTAAATAGAAAAACTTTGAACGAATAGTTACAAACTTTTTTTTTCCATTTTAAAACAGTGTAACACTAAGGCAGCAGTCCTCAACCTTTTTGGCACCAGGGACTGGTTTCACAGAAGACAATTTTTCCATGGACAGGGCTGGAGCTGGGGGGGATGGTTTCAGGCTGATTCAGGCACATTACATTTATTGTGTATTTTATTTCTATTATTACATTGTAATATATAATGAAATAATCATACATAATGAAATCTACCGTAATGTAGAGTCAGTGGGAGCCCTGAGCTTGTTTACCTGCAACTAGACAGTCCCATCTGGGGATGATGGGAGACACTGACAGATCATCAGGCATTAGATTCTCATAAGGAGCCCGTGGCCTAGATCCCTTCCTCGCATGCGCAGTTCACACCAGCGTTCATGCTCCTCTGAGGATCTAATACTGTTGCTGATCTGACAGGAGGCAGAGCTCGGGTGGTGATGTGAGTAATGGGGAGTGGCTGTAAATACAGATGAAGCTTTGCTCACTGGCCTGTTCACCTCCTGCTGTGCAGCCCAGTTCCTAACAGGCCACAGACTGGTACCCATTTGTGGCCCAGGGGTTGGGGACCCCTGCACTAAAGAAAACTTGGAGGAACAGCCAAAAAAATTAATTACCCATAGTTCATCATTTAAATGTAACTACAACACTTGATTCATTTCCTTTCAGTCTTTTTTTTTTTTTTTTTTCTTTTGAGACAGAGTCTCACTCTGTCGCCAGGCTGGAGTGTGGTGGTGCTATCTTGGCTCACTGCAACCTCCGTCTCTTGGACTCAAGTGATTCTCCTGCTTCTGCCTCCCAAGTAGCTGGGACTACAGGTGTGCACCACCATGCACAGCTAATTTTTGTATTTTTAGTAGAGATGGGGTTTCATCATGTTGGCCAGGATGGTCTCGAACTCCTGACCTCGTGATCTGCCCACCTGGGCCTCCCAAAGTGCTGGGATTACAGGCAAGAGCCACTGTGCCTGGCCCTTTCTTTCTTTTTTAGGGTCAGGGTCTCGCTCTGTTGCCCAGGTTGTTGTGCAGTGGCATGATCGTGGCTCACTGCAGCCTCAAACTCCTGGGCCCAAGTGATCCTCCCGCCACAGCTTCCTGAGTAGCAGGTGCACGCCTAATTTTTTTAAGTATTTTTGTAGAGATGGGATCTCACTATATTGCCCAGGCTGGTCTTAAACTCCCAGCCACAGGTGATCCTCCTGCTTGTCTCCTTCTCAGCTTCAGCTTGATCCCACAGGGAGCTCACAAGTGTGAACCACACGACACTCCCTCCTTGAGGTAGGAGGGCTCAGCCCCATGCTTGTCCGTCACTGGCTATGGGCTTAAGGGAAGAGCAAGGTGGCCTAGGACAGGTCCCTGAAACACACTGGGGGAAAAGTATATTACATCTGTAAGTTTTGGATGGTGTAGTTAAAATACACATACAAATATAGATACATAAAGCAAGTGCGGCAAAATGCAAGAAACGTCAGATCTAGGTGCAGACTTTAATAGTGTTCGTTGTAGGATTCTTTCCACTTTTCTGAAGGTTGAAATTTTTCATGATAAAAATGTGAGGAAAACAGAGGAGGGGTGTGTCAACCCAAAGCCTGTTCTTTTGTGGACTGCCATCCTGAAACTGATGCCCAGACCTGACCAGCAGTGCAAAGAGAACCTGCCAGTTATCCTGAATGCATTTTCTCCCTCATCTTCCACCTGAGGTCGGTCACAGATCATGTCAGTTTTACCTTTGAACCATCTTCCCTCTCACTGCCCAGTTAGTCCAGGCTTTAGTCCCGGCTTGTTATCTTCCTGGCCTGGACTAATACAACAGCCTTTTAATTGGGCATCTTTCTTTTCTTTTCCCTTTTTTTCTTTTGAGACAGAGTCTCGCTCTGTCTTGCCCAGGCTGGAGTGCAGTGGTGCGATCTCAGCTCACTGCAAGCTCCGCCTCCTGGGTTCAAGTGATTCTCCTGGCTCAGCCTCCCAAGTAGCTGGGATTACAGATGTATGAACCACTCCTGGCTAATTTTGTATTTTTAGTAGAGTTGGGGTTTCACCATGTTGGCCAGGCTGGTCTCGAACTCCTGACCTCAGGTGATCCACCAGCCTCGGGCTCCCAAAACGCTGGGATTATAGGCGTAAGCCAGTGCACCCAGTCTCTTTTCCTTTTTCTTTTAAGAAACAAGATCACCCAAGCTGGTCTCAAACTCCTGGGCTCATAGGATCCTCATGCCTCAGGCTCCCAAGTAGCTGGGACTACAGGCACAAGCCACTGAGCCTGGCTTGGGCATCTTTGTAGTGTACCACCTTTAATTTTTCCATTTCTCACTTAGCACCTAGATTCATCATTCCTTTTTTTTTTTTTTTTTTTTCTTTGAGACAGGGTCTTGCTCTCTCACCTAGGCTGGAGTGCACTGGCACAATCACGGCTCACTGCAGCCTCGAACTCCTGGGCTCAAGTGATCCTCCCACATCAGCCTCCTGAGTAGCTGGGACTATAGGCACATGCCACCATACCCAGCTGATTTTTGTATTTTTGGTAGAGACGGGGTTTTGCCATATTGTCCTGGCTGGTCTCAAACTCCTGGGCTCAAGCAATCGTCTGCCTCGGCCTCCCAAATTGCAAAGATTATAAGCATGAGCCACCGCGCCCAGCCTAGATTCGTCATTCTAAACTGCAGTTAGAATCATGGTATTCCCTCTTTAATTCAGTGTATCCTCATTGTCTGTACTAGGGTAAACGTCCTTCACACGGTTCATAAGGCCTTTGTACCACGGCCCCAGCTCACGTCTCTAGCCTTACCCCTTACCATTTGTATTACAACCCTGTGCACGATCCATTCTGAACAATTTACCAATTCCTTAAGTAAAAGCCAAACTTTCCTTAGCTTCTGAATCTAGAAATCCTATGCCTGGAAGGCCCCCTCCCCTCTCTGTACTGCTGGAAAATTCCTTCTTAAACTTCAAGAATTAGTTCAAATTTTGCCCGTTCTGGGAAGGCTTCCCTGAACTCTCCAGGTGGAGTTAAGTGGCCCCTTTTTATATCCCTATAACACACACTGTACATGCCTTTCTTACATTTATCGCACTGCTGTAAGTAGCTGTATACATGTCTATTTCTTCTCGAGTAGAAGTGAGACCAGGAAGGTAGAGACTGGACTCTTTATATCTGTATCCTTAATATCTAGCACAATGCTTAAGAAATGTCTGTCCACTGTGCTTAACAAATGTCTGATGAATAGCCAAGGCTTTTTAGGATTATCAACTTACTACAGCTGGTGAGGGAACATGAATGCTTGGGACAGATCGAGGTCGCACATGATTGGCCAAATGGCAAAGAACAACACCGTCAGTTAGAGCTGCTCCGAGATCACAAGGTAGAGACACTTTCAACCGGTACTCAATATGCTGAAAGAACAAAAAACATGTAATAGATTAATTGAAGAAAGACTGACATATAGGACATAAGGGAGTTATAATGAAATCTAATTAAAAATCAAGATAAAAAGGAAATAAGTACCACAATATCCATTTTATCCCTCTATCCTAAGTTTAACTTAAGGAGATCTAATATATATGGACGGCAGCCAGGGCATAGTGGTACAAAGTACAACAAAAATTCATTTACAACTTTCTGATTAAAAAAAAAAACCTAGATTCTCCTTCAATTCCAACATAAAATAAAGAGGCAATCACTCACTATATATGTGTAAGTGTGATATTTATATATGTGTGCACACACATATAAATTATTACTGACAATATTTCTTTATAACAGGAAGTAGAAAAAAGGAAAAAATTTAAATGAGTAGAGCTAGGAATTGAGCTTTATAGAATAAGCCATCTATCTCATTTTCTAAGTAAATAGCTGAAAAGAATTTCCTTAATAGCAAAATGTTTACATTCATCACAAAACATGGCACACAATGGGCACTCATTTAATCTGTTAAAAATTACAGCCGGGCGCGGAAGCTCACGCCTGCCATCCCAGCACTAATCTGTTAAAAATTACAGCCGGGCGCGGAAGCTCACGCCTGCAATCCCAGCACTAATCTGTTAAAAATTACAGCCGGGCGCGGAAGCTCACGCCTGCCATCCCAGCACTGTGGGAGGTCGAGGCCAGTGGATCACCTGAGGTCAGGAGTTCGAGACCAGCCCGGCCAACATGGTGAAACTCCTTCTCTACTAAAAATACAAAAACTAGCTGGGTGCAGTGATGGGCGCCTGTAATCCCAGCGACTCAGGAGGCTGAGGCAGAAGAATTGCTTGAACCCACGAGGCATAGGCTGCAGTGAGCCAGGATCATGCCACTGAACTCCAGCCTGGGTGACAGAGTGAGACTCCGTCTAAAAAAAAAATAAATAAAAATGATGTGTCAAATGAAGACGTGATCACAGGATTATGATCTATAGCAGTAATACTGAAAAAGTGTAAATCAAAGGTAATGTACATACTTTACGCAGTTGGTCTATTAATTCCAGCTCTTCTTCTCTCTGTCTTGAATTCTGTCCTGTTATGGAATCTGTAGAATCAGTGGTAGGTGCAGCAGATGGAGGAAGGGGTGAAGCATGACCTATAAAAATATTAATATGTAAGACAGAAAGGCAACTGGCAGTGCTAGGAGAACATCCGGCTCTGCCTCATCACAGTTTCCCTGCAAGTGCAGTGCATGGCTTTCTACCTCCTGCAGGTACAGTGCATCGCTTTCTACCTCCTGCAGGTACAGTGCATGGCTTTCTACCTCCTGCGGGTACAGTGCATCGCTTTCTACCTCCTGCGGGTACAGTGCATCGCTTTCTACCTCCTGCAGGTACAGTGCATGGCTTTCTACCTCCTGCAGGTACACTGCATGGCTTTCTACCTCCTGCAGGTACAGTGTATCGCTTTCTACCTCCTGCAGGTACAGTGCATCGCTTTCTACCTCCTGCAGGTACAGTGCATCGCTTTCTACCTCCTGCAGGTACAGTGCATCGCTTTCTACCTCCTGCAGGTACAGTGCATCGCTTTCTACCTCCTGCAGGTACAGTGCATCGCTTTCTACCTCCTGCAGGTACACTGCATGGCTTTCTACCTCCTGCAGGTACACTGCATGGCTTTCTACCTCCTGCAGGTACAGTGTATCGCTTTCTACTTCCTGCAGGTACAGTGCATCGCTTTCTACCTCCTGCAGGTACAGTGCATCGCTTTCTACCTCCTGCAGGTACAGTGCACGGCTTTCTACCTCCTGCAGGTACAGTGCACCGCTTTCTACTTCCTGCAGGTACAGTGCACCGCTTTCTACCTCCTGCAGGTACAGTGCACGGCTTTCTACCTCCTGCAGGTACAGTGCACCGCTTTCTACTTCCTGCAGGTACAGTGCACCGCTTTCTACTTCCTGCAGGTACAGTGCACCGCTTTCTACTTCCTGCAGGTACAGTGCATGGCTTTCTACCTCCTGCAGGTACAGTGCATCGCTTTCTACCTCCTGCAGGTACAGTGTATCGCTTTCTACTTCCTGCAGGTACAGTGCATCGCTTTCTACTTCCTGCAGGTACAGTGCATCGCTTTCTACTTCCTGCAAGTACAGTATATTGGTTTCTACTTCCTGCAAGTACAGTATATTGCTTTCCACTTTCTGGATTGACTTTTTAAAAGGGTTTTTATTATGGAGATTTTCAAATATACACAACAGAGAATAGTATAGAAAAATATGTAATGTTCATTACCCAGTTGACTCAACTACTTTTGTTTGATTACATCCACTTAAAAATGTTTTTATTGAAAATTAATACACAGAAAAATACACAAATCGTAAGCACAGTGCTCAAAAAATTCTCCTCACCAAGTGAACACAATCAGGTTTTTAATGCAATCTTACCAATCCCAGGAGCCCCTTCCATGCTCCTTGCCCATAAGTACCCAACGTGCTCAAAACCGCACCCTGACTTCTAACACTGTAGGCTGGTCTGGTTCATTTTTGAACTTTGTATAAATTATGCTGTATTGTATGTATTCTTTTGCTTCTGGCTTCCTTTGATCAATGGTAAGTTTATGAGATTTATCCATGTTGCTGTATATAGGAATTGGTTCATTTTCATTGCTTATATGGTATTCCATTGTACAAATATACCACAATTCATTTATCCATTCTCTTGATGGACATTCAGTTTCAGGCTATTATGAATAATGCTGCTATGAATATTTTTGTACACGTTGTTGGTACACGTGTGTACATATTTCTCAAAAGTAAAACTGCTGGTCATAGGGTACACAGTCATCCGTCAGTATCCAGGGGAAATTAGTTCCAGAAACCACCTCTCTCATACCAAACTTTGTGGACGCTCAAGTCACTCATATAAAATGTAGTATTATTTGCATACAAACTATGCATATCCTCCTTTATACTATACTTTAAATCATCTCTGTTACTTACAATACTTAATACAATGTAAATGCTATATAAATTGTTACTATACTGTATTTCAAAATTAGTATTATTTCTTTATTGTGGCATTGTTTATTATCGTTGTCTTGTTTCTGAAGATTTTTCTGTCCATGACTGGTTGAATCCATAAATACAGAATCTGTGGGTACAGAGGCTGACTGATAACAGTCTTCCATGCTTTCTTACACTCTCACCAGCAGTGCATCTGTAGTTTGACTTTTAAATCTTACTGTGAATGCATCTGTTGGTAACATTGAAGGTAAGTTGTGTTTTTTTTGTTTTTTTGAGACAGGGTTTCACTTTGTTACCCAAGCTGGAGTGCAATCGCGCAATCTTGACTCACTTCAGCCTCAACCTCCTGGGCTCAATCCATCCTCCCGCCTCAGCCCCACAAGTAGCTGTGACTACAGGCCTGCACCACCATGCCTTTTTTTGTTTGTTTGTTTTTGTTTTTGAAACGGAGTCTCGCTCTGTCACCCAGGCTGGAGTGCGGTGGTGCGATCTCGGCTCACTGCAAGCTCTGCCTCCCGGGTTCACACCATTCTCCTGCCTCAGCCTCCCGAGTAGCTGGGACTACAGGCACCTGCCACCATGCCTGGCTAATTTTTTTTGTATTTTTAGTAGAGATGGGGTTTCACCGTGTTAGCCAGGATGGTCTCGATCTCCTGACCTCGTGATCTGCCCGCCTCAGCCTCCCAAAGTGCTGGGATTACAAGTGTGAGCCACCGCACCCAGCCAATTTTTTGTATTTTTTTAAGAGATGGGGTTTTGCCATGTTGCACAGGATGGTCTCGAACTCCTGAGCTCAAGTGATCCCATCTACCTCGGCCTCCCAAAGTGCGAGGATTACAGGCACGTGCCACCACGCCTGGCCTATTTTTTAATTTTTTTTGAGACATAAGTTTCACACTGTCATCCATGCTGGAGTGCAGTGGCGCAATCTCAGCTCACTACAGCCTCCACCTCCTGGGTTCAAGCGACTCTGCCTCAGCCTCCCGAGTAGCTGGGATTACAGGCGCCTGCCACCATGCCTGGCCAGTTTGTTACTCTACCGCCCAGACTGGAGTATAGTGGCGCCATCTTGGCTCACTGCAACTTCTGCCTCCCAAGTTCAAGCAATTCTCCTGCCTCAGCCTCCTGAGTAGCAGGAATTACAGGCGCCTGCTGCCACACCCGGCTAATTTTTGTATTTTTTCAGTAGAGACGGGGTTTCGCCATGTTGGCCAGGCTGGTCATGAACTCCTCAAATGACGTGATCTGCTCGCCTTGGCCTCCCAAAGTGCTGGGATTACAAGTGTGAGCCACCGTGCCCAGCCATTTTTTGTATTTTTAATAGAGACAGGGTTTCACCACGTTAGCCAGGCTGATCTCAAACTCCCGACCTCAAGTGATCTGCCTGCCTTGGCCTCCCAAAGCACTGGGATCACAGGCGTGAGCCACCACGCCTGACCTTATTTTTGTTTGTTTGTTTGTTTGTTTGTTTTAAGAGACAGAGTCTTGCTCTGTTGGCCAAGCTGGAGAACAGTGGTGCTTTTAATTATAACTCATTGTAACCCTGAAGTCCTGGGCTCAAGCAATCCTCCCCGCCAGCTTCCCAAGTAGCTGGGACCACAGGCACACACCACCATGATAAAAGTTGTTATTTTTGACTTGAAATGTTTGTTTCCACTCCCAGGTAACTTCTTTGGGGACCAGGGAGAAATTTGTCATTATTAACTAAAAGAACATGAGACTTAAAGTAGATTTTAAAACAATTATTGTTTTAAGAAAACAGCTTTTATCAATAGAAAAATGTGAAAAAGAGTTCATTACCAAGACAAAGAACATTCTCTAAAGCCTCGAAAGCGCATTTTATTTGTTCAAACACTCTATAACCTGCTTTTAGGTGGCACTAAGAAACTTTCTCATCCAAACAAATTCAGATAAGATTTTCCTGCTTTAGTATCAGTGAGATCACAGACACATGCTTTTGCCGAGCTGATAGCTTTGTCTTATACTATATGCAGAAGTTTAAAAGCATCCATCTAACAGCTAGCGTCGTTGTGTAAACCTCCCCTCGCTCCTGGCTTTTAAAATCACCACCACCTACCTTTGTTGGTTTCTGCCCTGACACCTGCTCGGAAAAGGAAGCTTTCAGGGCGCTGAGGCTGATTTCTCTGGATAGCAGCAGGAAAAGAATATGCAGGGGAATGATGAACTAAATTAGCATGAAAAATAAAATGAGATTAAAGGAGATGAAAATATAATAGCAGACATACAAGTTACAAAAGTAACAAG
Organism: Homo sapiens; assembly: GCF_000001405.40. Classification (NCBI taxonomy): domain Eukaryota; kingdom Metazoa; phylum Chordata; class Mammalia; order Primates; family Hominidae; genus Homo; species Homo sapiens. The sequence goes on along the minus strand of NC_000003.12, from coordinate 197,866,031 downwards.
TAAAAAATAAACATGGCAATGATATAAAATAATTCTATTTAATGATGAAAAGTCTGGTACAGAAAATAATCATGAAACCAGGAGGACCGCTTGTATGTATTTTACATTGTCATGTTATTTTTGGTGTTATCAATAAAGGCAGAATGAATGTTATCATATTGAACAGTCTCCCGCAGACCTACGGCTGTTGTTCACTTATTCATATCAAATGGCTGACTAGCTGAGCAACCAATTTAATTTAAAAATGGGAAAAAAAAAAAAAAACCCAGTGGTTTCCAATTCTGTATCTGATTTCTATCTCAGAAAAAGCAGCCACAGCTCTCTAACAAGTAATTTAGGAAAATCTTGGTAAAAAATTATAATCTTAGCCGGGTGCTGTGGCTTACATCTGTAATCCCACCACTTTGGGAGAACAAGGCAGGAGGATCCCTTGAGCCCAGGAGTTTGAGACCACCCTGGTCAACACAGAAAGGCCTCGTCTCTATTTATTATTATTTTTTAAATAAAAAAATAAAGAATTATAATCTTGATGTGGTTAATTGCACCTTTGTGTCTATTACCTGTTTCTGTTGCAGGTGAACTTAATAGAGCATTAGGTCTGTCATCACTCTGTGGAGAAACAGACATATATCAATAATTGTTATTCAAGAAGAAATACTTTCTACTTTTATGGTAATTTTGAAATTATAAAAGACAAAAAACAGGTAACTCTCCTTCACGATTAAGTCTAGAGGTGAGAATTTGGGTCAGGTGCAGTGGCTCATGCCTGTAATCCCAGTACTTTGGGAGGCTGAGGTGCGAGGATTACTTGAGAGCAGGAGTTGAGACCAGCCTAGGCAACATAGTGAGACCCTGTCTCTACAAAACGTCTAAAAAATTGGTCAGGCATTGTGGTGTGCTCCTGTAGAGGCTGAGGAGGGAGGGTTGCTTGAGCCTAGGAATTAAAGACTGCAGTGAGTAATGATTGTGCCACTGCACTCCAGCCTGGGTGACAGAGGGAGACTCTCTCTCTCCCTCTCTCTCTCTTTTTTTGAGACAAGGTCTCACTCTTGTTGCCCAGGCTAGATTGCAATGCCATGATCTCCCAGGCTCAGGTGATCCTTCTACCTCAGCCTCCCAAGTAGTTGAGACTACAGGGACACATCACCATGCCCAGTTAATTTTTGCATTTTTTGTAGAGACAGTGTCTTGCCATGTTAGCCAGGTTAGTCTCAACCTCCTGAGCTCAAGCGATGCACCCGCCTCAGCCTCCCAAAGTGCTGGATTATAGGCATGAGTTACCGTGCCTGGCCTGACCCCCTTTGGAAAAAAAAAAAAAAAAAGAAGAAGAAGAAAAAGAAATGAGGATTTGGTGAAATGAATTAATTCTGTATTTTTAAAAGCCAAGTTTTTGTTTTTTTGTTTTTTGTTTTTTTTTTTTTGAGATGGAGTTTAGCTCTTATTGCCCAGGCTGGAGTGCAATGGCACGATCTCAGCTCACCACAACCTCCGCCTCCCGGGTTCAAGCAATTCTCCTGCCTCAGCCTCCCAAGTAGCTGGGATTACAGGCATGCACCACCATACCCAGCTAATTTTTTTGTATTTTTAGTAGATACGGGGTTTCTCCATGTTAGTCAGGCCGTTCTCGAACTCCCAACCTCAGGTGATTCGCCTGCCTCGGCCTCCCAAAGTGCTGGGATTACAGGCATGAGCCACCACGCCCAGCTGTTTTTATTTTTTATTTTTGAGATGGAGTCTCGCTCTTGTTGCCCAGGCTAGAGTGCAATAGAGCACTCTCAGCTCACCACAACCTCTGCCTTTCGGGTTCAAGTGATTCTCCTGCCTCAGCCTCCCGAGTAGCTGGGATTATAGGCATGTGCCACCACACCTGGCTAATTTTGTATTTTTAGTAGAGACAGGGTTTCTCCATGTTGGTCAGGCTGGTCTCAAACTCCCGACCCTCAGGTGATCCACCTGCCTCGACCTCCCAAAGTGCTGGGATTATAGGCATGAGCCACCACGCCCGGCCTAGTTGTGTTTATATAAAGACAGTCCATTATTTAACAAGCTCTTCCTAAGACTATGAAAAATGATCATCCTAAGACAGAAAATGTTACTGGGAAATATATGAGAAAGAAAAAGCAACATTTTATTTTCTAATAGTATTTCTCCATAATAGTTTCTAAAGTACTTTTTTCTCTGGAGAATAAAATTTAATATTTTTAAAAAGTAATATAGGTTTCCTAATTTCGGTTAGGAGAGAAGATGTTTAAGAGATGATAGATATATTTTCTACACTAGTATTTGAGTCCAAGACATTTTCAATTCATTGACCAAAAGAACTGTAAAAAGGAGGAAGAACTAGCCAAACAGTTACAAAGCTTACCTAAAGAAAGGGAAATGTAGTTAAGCTAATTTACAAAGAAATGTAGGTTGACTAGGTTAAAGCTGCTGAAGACTTGGCAGGGGAGTACAGTTAAGAAAAGCTAGAATAGGCCGAGCGCGATGGGCCACATCTGTAATCCCAACACTTTGGGAGGCTGAGGTGGGTGGATCACGTGGTCAAGAGATTGAGACCATCCTGGCCAACATGGTGAAACCCCGTCTCTACTAAAAATACAAAAATTAGGTGGGCATGGTGGTGGCGCCTGTAGTCCCAGCTACTTGGGAGGCTGAGGCAGGAGAATCGCTTGAACATGGAGGCGGAGGTTGCAGTGAGCCGAGATGGCGCCACTGCATTCCAGCCTGGGCAACAGAGTGAGACTCCATCTCAAAATAAATAAATAAATAAAAGAAAAGCTAGAATAACATTAATAGTTTTTTAGGCCTTGACATCTAATTGCCTTGAAATATAATCTAAATATATTATAACTTTATGATACGACTAAGGCACATTTCTGGACATAATGACTCTAAAATTAACACAAACATACAAATCTGCTCCCATACTTTCCCTACCATTGGTTTCAATATTTTCAGAACTCTTACATCGCTACTTACAGTTGGGTCAGATAAATGAGGACAAATAATTTTAACTGCTAAAAATAAATAAATAAATAATAAATAAATAAACCAAGGCCATATGTTGAGAAAATTCTCAAGACTCACTTGGAGACAATTTTCTGGTAACAATTCCTTAGTTTGATATCACAGGTGGAGAACTAAGATTTAAACAGTGAGCTGAGCTCGTAAGGCAGTGTGTTCACATCTTAAGTGGAAAAGACACGTTCATCGGGTTTATAGATGCAAGTAAACTAAGTTCTGGGTGTTGAGAAAAAATGGAAATTTAAATAAGAAATTTAATTCAAACAAGAGTAACAGAAACTGGTAAAAGGAATGAACAGGTAAATGAGGCAAAAGCCAGATATCTTTACAAGGAAGTAAAAGACTATGTTTATTTTCCAGGGTTGTGAATAAGTAGAAAATTGGTTAAACAAAGACATGTTCAAGGACCAATAATACAAAAAGAGAAACATTCAAGGTAGAGATTATTCTAGACAATGGAGGAAAAAATATTTTCAAAAATTTAAAAAACACTTATTAACAGGACATAGACTAGAAATTTAAAAAACACTTATTAACAGGACATAGACTAGAAATTTAAAAAACACTTCCTATTAACAGGACATAGACTAGAAATTTAAAAGTATTAAGGAATAAAAGGAGAAAGTTAACAGGCAACTTTATGAGATGAGAAGAGCTGAAACAACAATGAAGGGCAGCGAATGTTCTCTCCTTCGGTTTGAAACAGCAACAGGCCGGGCGCAGTAGGCTCACGCCTGTAATCCCAGCACTTCGGGAGGCAGAGGTGGGCAGATTGCCTGAGGTCAGGAGTTTGAAACCAGCCTGGCCAACACGGTAAAATCCCATCTCTACTAAAAATACAAAAATTAGCTGGGCGTGGTGGCATGCGCCTGTAATCGCAGCTACTCGGGAGGCTGAGGCAGGAGAATCACTTGAAACTGGGAGGCAGAGGTTTGTAGTGAGCTGAGATCTCACCACTGCACTCCAGCCTGAGCGACAGAGCAAGAGTCCGTCTCAAAGGAAAACAAAAAAGAAAGAAACAGCAACAGATAATATACTACTGGGCGTGATGAAAACAAAGCCAGAGGAGAGGAGACGTGTAAAAATGGTTTCTGAAATGTATTTTTATTAAAGCTATAAATCTAAGTGACTTGCATTCTAGGATACTAAAAATCATTAGCTTAAATCACTGTGAGGCCATTAACTACATTTGGGAACTCTTGGAAAACTGGAGAGCAAAAAAAAGGTTAAGAAATAATCTCTCACTAGAGAATTGAGGCAATGGAAAGAAAAAAAAACCCAGAACTGATATAAACTCAACTTTTAAGCCTAGCTAAGCAATAAAAGAAATAAATTCATAAGTATAATGTATAATTGCTGTGAAAGTAATAGAGATACTAAAAAAATAAAGAATAAATCTTTTAAAATAATAATTTGACAGTACAGCAGGTCGGATAGAAAAAAAAGACTTATCTATCTTAAATCTAGTGAAGTTTTATTTTTAATCTCATATGACAGTCACTGTAGAACAAGACACTGTGGTCTGTCTGGACCACACAACTTTTGGCACAGTCAAAACAACTCTCAGTTATGACTCTGAATAAGCCACAATGCCCGAAGGTGTTCATGGAGTACAACAAATTAACTTCTCTCCCATACATCTAGAATGGTGCCAGTTATGGACCTTCCTTGAGATCATTTTGAAAAAAAGTTGCTGAAATAATTTTCTGTGTTGTTCCAGTAAGGATCCCAGTTGAGAACGGCTAGCAAAGGGTTCACATGGAAGAGAATTATGAAGTTTTTTCAGGAGGCATCCAGGTATGTAGGGCATGCTCAACAATAACCAGAGGAGGTTTCTCAGATTTACAGTTGTTATAAAGTTGAGGTTATTAGCCGGGCTTGGTGGTGGGCACCTGTAATCCCAGCTACTCGGAAGCCTGAGGCATGAGAATCGCTTTAAACCCAGGAGGCAGAGGTTGCAGTGAGCCGAGATTGTGCCATTGCACTCTAACCTGGGCAACAAGAGCAAAACTCCGTCTCAAAAAAAAAAAAAAAAAGTTGGGGTCAGCATTTAAAAAAGCACAATGCAGACAGACTAAACTGAGGGTTACCGGAGGCTGGGAAGGGTAGTGGGAGGGTGGGGGAAGGAAATGGGGACAGTTAATGGGTCCAAAAAAAATAAAAAGAATAAGATCCAGCATTTGATAGTACAAAATGGTCATCACAGTCAATAATTTAATTGTACATTTAAAAATAACTAAAGGAGTATAACTGGATTGTTTGTAACACAAAGGATAAATGCTTGAGGTGATGGATAGCCCATTTACCTGATATAATTATTATGCACTGTATACCTATATCAAAATACCTCATGAACCCCATATACACACTTACTATGTACCCACAAAAATTAAAAAGTAAAAAAAAAAAGGACATGATACAAGAATTCGGTTTTAATGTTTTTAGAGACACAGTCTTGCACTGTCCCAGGCTGGGGTACAGTGGTGTGATCACAGCTCACTGCAGTCTTGAGTTCCTGGCCTCAATTGTATTCCCCCTCGGGCTACCAACACTGGGATTACAGGTGTGAGCCAGTGTACCTGGCTCAATGCAACAATTTGAAAGTATTCTGGTACATGAGACAAGTAAAAATATTCAAACAGCAAAATTAAATATTCAAGAAAAAATAAAGAATACAACACGTGGAAAGTAACTGTCATTTAGAAGTTGAAGGAGGTTGGGCGCAGTGGCTGACACCTAGCACTTTGGGAGGCCGAGGCAGGATGATCTCTTGAGCCCAGGAGTTTGAGACCCGCCTGGGCAATACAGTGAGACCTTGTTTCTACAAAAACTTAAAAAGTCAGCCAGGCATGGTGGTGCGCATCTGTATTCCCAGCTACTCAGGAGGCTAGGGAGGGAGGATCCAGCCTGGGAGACAGAGCAGGACCCTGTCTCAACACATAGAAGAGGTATAACTAAAATATTTGAGAATTCCAGTGGATACTGAGCAAAATGAAGACCAAAAATTTAAAAATCACCCTAAATGAGCAAGCTCTAACGAGGGATGTATTTCTAGTTTGGACCATGAAGCCAGAATGGAGGGCACAGAACTTGTGAAAATTCATTAAAGATGAACAGTCTGGGAAAGGCATGTAAAAGAATCTGAGTTTATTTAGGAAGAAGCTAAGGATGGCATCGTAATTGTTTTTAAATTCTTACATTAAAAAAATATTGTATTTTGTGTAAAAAAAAAAAGGATTCTTACATTAAAAAATGCTAAATAACTAGAAAATCTCCACTCTGGAAAGAAAAGAAGTATAAACCACAGCAGGACAGTTGTAAGTTAGACAAAGGTCTTCTTGACAGTGAGAATTATTGATCATTTTGTACATATCCAGTGATAACAAATATGGAATTACCACTCCTAGAGGCCTTCAAAAAATAAAATACTACAGGTTCTTAATTTTTAGAGTTTAGATTAAATTTTTCCAGAAGGTGGAATGTATCATCTCTTATGACATTATTGCTGATAAAAAGCAGGGGTTTGCGATTTTTTTTCTTATAGGGCCAGACTGTACATATTTTAGGCTTGTAGGTATATGATGTTGGTCACAATTATTCCACCTCAGCTGTTTACTGTGCAAGCAGCCATAGGCAATGCATAAACAAAAGGGACTGGCTATGTAAAAATAAAGCTTTACTTATAAACAGGTGGCCTAGGGGCCATAGTTGGTTGACCCCTACTGTAGAAGGTTTTGGTAGTGATAGTTTTTTTGGACTCAAATTATTTTGCATGCACATTAGACAACAGAGTTAATTCAATATTATATACTAACCAAAGTGAAATAATAACTCACAAGAAAAACACCTTTGATAAAAAAATCAGAATGACACATCAAACAATCTGAATACGAAGAATTAATGTGAGCTCTATGACTATCTCTAGCATCATAAAACTTTCAAAAAATTTCAAGGGAAATCAATGTTAAACAAATAGTTCCATAAACAGGTATATTTATGCGATCCTATATTTCAGATTGTTAGATCAATTCACCAAAAAATTCAAGACCTTATATCCACCTCCTCCCCAAACTTCCTGGTGAATTACAATAACAAGAGATACCTTAAGAGGCGTGAAGGCAGAAGAATGAGGCAGGGTAGCAGCACAGCCCACTTGATTCAACCCTGACAGCGACTACATTTCAAATGAGAAAGAGAAGAAACAGAAGGCAGCATTTATGTTAGCAAATGTCAGGCAGGCAGATCTGACTAGTGAAATGAGAAAAGGAAAGGTCACTGACGATCTTTCAAATGGTTTACTAAGCTACTGACAGGGCAGGAAGAGAATATTTGGGGGACAAAAACCCATGGACACAGTTTTTCCACTTGTATAATTCAGGATAGTCTCAATACCTCATGCCACATTAATCAAGAAATGAGAGGCATGATTTCTGAAAAATGATTTTATGCAGAAATAAAACAGAACATCAACATTGTTAGCATAGTAGCCTTGAAACTAGTGAGTCCTGTTCCTACGATGAGGGGTTTTAACCAAGCAGAACTGGCATCAATAAAAACAATATCTTTTCAACATTAATCCAAATTATATATATTATAATTAGGACATGAGGATTCTGCATCAACCTAAAGGAGGAACCGGCATTTCATCTCTGCCTCTGTGAAACTCCTAATGACTATAAGAGGGGAAGGTGGAATTTCCCTTTTCTTCGAATCCTTTATCTTTCACCAACCAACATAACAACTGGTTAGCTGTATTAGAGATAGATTGTATCTATATAATTATTGTCAATTAAAAAGACAAAAATTTAAAGTATTACATAGAATTTTGATTACAGGTAAGAGGTGCTCAAAACATGACAATTTTTCTCATTTGCCACATGGAGAGTGGAAATCAGAGAAGACAATACTTTCACAAAGAGCCCTGGATAAGGTTTTACCTATTAAAACAACAAAATGCCAAGAGCTTAAAAATAGTGAAGTCTTTATAAGTAATTTTTAAAAATTTAAACTAGGACCATAAATTTCTAAACTATGAGATAAATGAACAAGAAAACAAACAGGTGTTTAGGAAAAGGTATGTATATGGTCAATGAAATAAATACAACTGTATTTTTAATGAGAATTAACATATTTTTATTTAACAAAAGCAGCATGTAACACACAATGTATTATATGTATCACAAAATCTATCTTAAGGCAGCAAATAATGAAGATAAAAATATACCAAAGAGCAAAACTGTGACAATGGTAATACACTGTGTATACTTCTGGGGTTTAGATTTCCTGGGCCTGCTTTTTAATCAAAGGTACTGGAACTACTGCCAATGTCAAATATAAAAAGGAAAACTAGGAGTGGAGGAAGAAGAGGTAAAATGAGCCTCATATTCTTTTAAAATGAGACCTGATATAGACGAAAGCAACAGGAGTTTGAGGGGTAGCCCGAAGAGAATGTCAGTGTAACTGATACTAGCAGGAGCTTGAGGGGTAGCCTGAAGAGAATCTCAGTGTAACTGATACTAGCAGGAGCTTGAGGGGCAGAACGAAGACAATGTCAGTGTAAACTGATATTAACAGGAGCTTGAGGGGTAGCCGGAAGAGAATGTCAGTGTGACTGATATTAACAGGAGCTTGAGGGGTAGCCCGAAGACAATGTCAGTGTAAACTGATATTAACAGGAGCTTGAGGGGTAGCCCGAAGACAATGTCAGTGTAAACTGATATTAACAGGAGCTTGAGGGGTAGCCGGAAGAGAATGTCAGTGTAACTGATATTAACAGGGGCTTGAGGGGTAGCCCGAAGACAATGTCAGTGTAAACTGATATTAACAGGAGCTTGAGAGGTAGCCCGAAGACAATGTCAGTGTAAACTGATGTTAACAGGAGCTTGAGGGGTAGCCCAAAGATAATGTCAGTGTAACTGATATTAACAGGAGCTTGAGGGGTAGCCCGAAGAGAATGTCAGTGTAAACTGATATTAATAGAAGCTTGAGGGGCAGCCCGAAGACAATGTCAGTGTAAACTGATATTAGCTGTTATAAATCTTCATTTCAAATCGTAAGTTTCAAGGTCTTTAAATCAAATTCAGCATTTACCTTATGATATCGTTCATCAGACCTTTTCATCACAAAACAATTTAATAATCAGTAGATGCACAGAATTTATATGTTCATTCAGGAAATATTTACTGAGCACCTAATATATCCCAGGAACTGTGGTAGGGATGGAGTGTATTAAGGTACATTAAGACAAAATAGAATATCCTTGTGTTCATGAAGCTTATAGTCTAGTAGTCCAACAGAAAAGAGATAATAAAAGAATAAACAAGCTGGGCACGGTGGCTCATGCCTGTAATCTCAGCACTTTGGGAGGCTGGGGCAGGAGGATTGCTTGAGCCCTGGAGTTAGAGACCAGCCTGGGCAACACAGTGAGACCCTGACTCTACAAAAAAATAAAAAAATTAGCCACGTGTGGTGCATGCACCCGTAGTCCCAGCTACTCAAGAGGCTGATGCTTCAAGGAACCATGTTCATGCCACTGCACTCCAGCCTCGGCAACAGAGGGAGACTCTGTCTCAAAATAATTAAATAAATAAATAAAAATAAAGAATAAAATTAAATTTAAAAATACAAAATAAAATAATAAACACCCAAATAAAACTACCATGATAAAAAAATTACCGTGACAACAGTAATACACTATGTATACTTCCCGGGCCTCCTTTTCATCAAACGCACTGGAGCTCCTGTCAGTTTATTTAACTGTCAAACTGTGGGCTGATTTAAGGGTGGTGGGCTGCCGAAAAGTCATGTTAAAGATGGAACATTTAAACAAATACCTGATAGGTGAGTAGGAATTAATCAAGGGGTACATGCAGGGAGGGAAAGGCATTCTATGTAAAAGAAACAGCATTTGCAAAGGTCTGAGATGGGAAAGGGCTTATGATATTTGAAGAGCTGGAAACAATGCTGGTATGGCACAAGCCCAGAGAGGAGACTGGAGAGGGAGGCAGTAGAGCACGAGGGAGCTTCGAGGCCACGTTCGGACTTCACTCTAAGCAACGGGAGCCTTCTGAAGCACAGTTTTGATAATATGAGGTTTTATTTAAAATACGACTCTTTTTGCACAGTGTTGGTTGGACACTATTTGGCAGACAAAGAAATGTGAGATGTGTTTTAAAGGCCGTCTAATTTGGAGGATCAGATATGAATACTGAGAACTAAGACTTAAGTGAGTGTGTTTTGACAAACGGCCGAAGGGAATTTCAAGTTACGCACTAAGGGGATTTTGCTGTTGTTGTTTTTCTAAATTCCACTGTTTTGTTGACAAAAAAGTCTTGGCACTCAGACTTATACCACTTATTCCATGTGTTATTAAACCTTCGGTTTCCTAAACGGTTTTCAGTTTCAGTATGGTGTTTAATGCAGGTTCTCCCATCAGCCAGACAGATGTGGATTCCCAGCCTTGCACTTACTGTCTATGCGACATTGGACAAGTCACATTCTGGGCCTCAGTAATCATTTGTAAAAAGGTGATAAGTTTAACCTTCACTCTTAAGGTTGCTGCGAGGAGTAAATGAGATAATTTTGGTAAGTGTTTGGATCGTCGGAGGCTCTCAATATTTGTCTACATTTTTAACTTATTATTCGCTTCTTAGGCCAATTCACTTAAACTAAAACTCTAGAGTGTGATGATTGTATTCACCTATAAGACCGCCCAGTTAAAAGGTGCTTTATCCATCTCAAAGGAAATGAAGGTTGTGGAATACACAGCAATGCGAACAGACCACGGAAGCTGATGTAACAGGAATGTCATGCTGAGGCATGCAGCTCACGCAGCAGGATGCACCCTGGCAGCAGTTACTAGCACTGTAGGCACTAGACCTCTGAACGTACTACTATGAAAACAATCACATAAAACATGATGGGGAAAGAAATTCTAGAAATGGTTAGAATTCTTTCGCAAGGCTAATAAGATGTTAAATAAACCTTCCATCTTATACTCATTTTGAGCTGATGAAACAGGCAATAAAAGTAAGCCAGTGTTCAACACGATCAGCAGTTAATGTTTCCTTGGGTTTAAAAAGTGAACATGAAGGAATAATCTTGAGCTGTAAGTATTTAAAACCAAAGTGAAGGATTTTCAGTAGCTGAAAATACATCATAAAATTGGATGCCAAATATACAGCTGTGCAATCAGTGTCATGAGTCACCTTAACATATAGGTGACCCATGAGCCAAATTAATGATTAATAAAGTAAGTGCTCCTGGAATTAGACACATTTAAAACATGAATATTATGTTATGCCTCCATTCCCAGCACACACAAAGCCAATATGGTTCTCAAGGCAAATGTTTTCCTTTCGGTGGCACTGACAAAGATATGAGCTGCAGAACTTTGAAACACTGGGTCAATCACAAATGGTCATGTGGGAAAATGGTTTAGTTCTTCATAAAGCATTTAGTAATGATGTTCATCATGTTTTATGGTATTTAGATAGTTTCTGAATAAAAAGTACAATCTCTAAACACAGAAATGCGAAACTCCGTTTTGTGCAAAACTCTTACCATGCACAAGGCACTATCATCAGTGTGCTGAGACCTTCTGGATGGGAAGGGGCACTGGAGAGATGGAGAAAAATGAAGCCATGTCAGAAACAAACTACGCACACGTGTGACGTATTTCACGAATACACACACAAGGGAAGAGACATATTAAGACATACTTTTGAAGACGTTGACATAGAGGACCACATTCACAATCATCTGGAATTCATGCATTATAATAGTCAGTAAGTTGGTTCTGAGTACTGATCTTCTCCCAGAGTTTAAACAACTTCAAATACGATCTTATTGCCTAAAACCTTACAAAGCAAGGAGGGAACAGAAAGCTGGAGAGAGATGTAACAATAACATAAAGAACCTATGGTCATTTAGTGAGCCAGTAACAAACAAGAAGCCCAGAGTCATAATTTCTAGTCTAAGTATCTCTTCATTTTCTTTCTTAAGCAAAATGAAAAGTACAATTACAATTTTTAGAACTGTTTATGTTATTTTCCTGTGGAGCTTTAGTTTTCTTGAGAATGAATTACTTGAAAACAATCATCAAGAAGGAAATATTGGGGTAAAAAAGAAAACACACATTAAATTTATCAAACTTTGGTTGTCGAAAATGTGTTAGTATTATTACCAGGTGAAGAAAAGACAAGTGAACATGCTGGAGCCAATCTTTGAGGTATTATACAAATATATAATGTTCTAACATAAAAAAACAGAAGTAGTTCTATGTCTGATAAAACTTTTTAAAAACCTTTCTAATGGACAATTGAAAACATTTCAAACAATACACTTTTCCATACCAGAAACTCCTGTGCTTTAAAAACACTGAAAATTGTTGCTTGTAAAGCCCCACGTGTTAGGTTTTCAAATAACTTATTTTATGAAAAGCAAAGTCAAAATTCACATGAAACAACGCTTTTATGCATTTTTCAAGGAGGTAATGATCATAAATTAAAACAAACTGGGTCAGGCGCAGTGGAATTAAGTGCCTGTAATTCCAGCAGTTTGGGAGGCCGAGGCAGGTGGATTATGAGGTCAGGAGTTCGAGACCAGCCTGACCAACACAGTGAAACCCCGTCTCTACTGAAAATACAAAAATTAGCCAGGCGTGGTGGTGCACACCTGTAGTCCCAGCTACTCGGGAGGCTGAGGCAGAAGAATCAGTTGGACCCGGGAGTCGGAGGTTGCAGCGAGCCAGTATCGCGCCACTGCACTCCAGCCTGGGTGACAAAGTGAGACTCTGTCTCAAAAAAAAAGAAAAAGAAAAAGAAAAAACTGGTAGGTTTTTAAAGGGAAAATGGTTAATGAGAAAGCCAACTACAAGAAAAACATTTAGTAAGCTTCATTTTAACAGATCAAAAGAGGTGTGTAGATTTTTAAAAGGTTAAGTGATTTATTTTCTGTTAATCTGTAAGAAAAATGTACTATTTGATATTATAAAATAAGTGTTATCATTGATAGCACTGAATCTGAAATCCTATGTAAGAGTCTTTTTTTGTTTAGTAGCCACTCCATTTACCTGTACCAGGTAAAGCTCCCAGGACTCTACACACAACGCTTCAAAAGTGGAGGAGACGGGGACGGTGCCTCTGGTGGGGGTCAGGGAGGGAAATATCATCTCTAGATGGATGTGTATAGCTGAAAAAAGCCTTGATCTATAGATTCTAGTAAACTCCTTGGCTTGTATCATCTCCCTCATAAGGAGAATATTGTGAGGTGGAAAAAGAAAAATGGCAATATTCCGAGCACTGAAAACATGACAATTACATGTAAACATTTCATTTCCATTGCAAAAATAATCAACTCCAAAGAAAAGGAGATTACATCAACTTACCTCACCATCTACGCCATCTAGGAGCGGGTGCTGTTTTTGTGGACTTTGTGATGCTTTTTGCTGTATAATCCCAAAACCCCCCAAAAAAGGAAGTTGGTTAGAGCCTGGAACACTGCAAATAACAAATTCTATTTACTAAAATAATCACTCAAATTAATTTTTTTACCTCTTGTTTATAGCATTTTTCTAGATTTACTAGTTAGAAAATGTTTAGCTAGAAATTTTAAAAACTATACATATATCTACACAAACACATTTATAATCAGAATATTGACCTCTTACTCGATGAACTTATTCTCTCCCTCTAATGGCTTTAGTATCACTCGAATGCTAATAACCTTAGCTAGAAGCAAATCTCAGGTTTGTGTTTTCAACTGTCTATGGAAACTCTCTACTTGGAAACCCCACTCCACCTCATATCTGACACATTCAAAAACAAACTCACAATGTCCCATACTAACTGGCTATTTTCTCCAACGTGTGATGTCTAATAATCTAATAATAACATTATAGCATTGGTGTGGTCCCTGCTTTACAACGTGCTCTACTGTATGTCACTGTGTACACAGTATTTCAGTGATTCTTCTACTGTGTGAGATAAAATATCATCATCATATTCATTTAGAGATGAGAAAATCGAGAAGAGAGGTTATGCGGCACGTGCAAGGTCTCCAAGTTCGTCAGCAGCATAACTGGTTTGGGCCTGCCTTCCGACTGCAAAGCCTGTGTTCTTTCCACAATGCTAGACCCTCATTTGAAACCATCTTTCAGCCTCCAAACCTTGCTTTGGGAGCTTCTTTTTTTTCACCCTCTTCAGTGATTTATTCACCATCTGTGATTTATTCACCATCTCTCTTATAGGTAATTCAGCAAATCCATTTTATTATAGTAATAGGGGATATAGCATCTACCATACTAGTATTAAGCATTAGGTATATCCATAATAATTCTGAGATAGTTAATATTTAATAGTTAAATATCACACACAGGAGGAACCTAACAGCATAAAATGGCTCAGTAGCTTTCTGAAAGTCAAGCGCACGGCAAGTGGCAAAGCTGGATTCAAATGCAGAGATTTCTGAATTTAGGCTCTTGTCACTGCAATACTGCCAACCCTTAGGACCTTTAGAAACCATCTGGTTTTTATGCCTTATTTTGCACCCTAGTCTAACTATTGCAATTTCCTTCTTCATTTTCCTCTTTCTAGTCTTTCTTCCTAACCAGTTCTAACGCAAGTCAATTAGTTTTTCAGAAGTCTCTCTCTTCTCATGTTTTTTCCTGCTTTGAAACTCAAGTGTTCTCTTTTACTTAATAGATCAAGATCCAACACTAATTTGACATTTAATCAAGACTCTCTACAAGTTGACTATCTCTTACTGGCTGTGTGACTTCTACGGAAGGCAAACTGAGTAAGTTAATTTATGCAAAACACATAGAACAGCACTTAAGATTCAGTGTTAACCATTATTACCGAGAGGCAGCATAGACTGTGCTCACAGAATAGGCTTCAGAGCCAACCTGCCTTGTTCTAATCACAGGATTTTAATCCTGCCACTTCCTGAGTATTTAATCTTAGTAAACTGTTATTCTCTCTGAGCGTGTTTCCTTGTTCATAAAAAGAAAAAATGGGCTCTTTCCCTAAGCAGCCTGAGGTAATCTGTGAAAAATGGTTCGCTATTCACTTGACCCGGAGAACCCCACGAAATCATGCAAATCAAGAGGTTCCAATCTTCGTGTTCACTTTAAGAACACTCGTGGAACTGCTCAGGCCACCAAGGGTATGCATATACGAAAAGCCACGAAGTATCTGAAAGATGTCACTTTACAGAAACAGCGTGTACCATTCCGACGTTACAATGATGGAGTTGGCAGGTGTGCGCAGGCCAAGCAGTGGGGCTGGACACAAGGTCGGTGGCCCAGAAAGAGTGCTGAATTTTTGCTGCACGTGCTTAAAAATGCAGAGAGTGATGCTGAACTTAAGGGTTCAGATGTAGATTCTCTGGTCATTGAGCATATCCAAGTGAACAAAGCACCTGAGATGTGCCGCCGGACCTACAGAGCTCATGGTCGGATTAACCCATACATGAGCTCTCCCTGCCACATTGAGATGATCCTTATGGAAAAGGAACAGATTGTTCCTAAACCAGAAGAGGAGGTTGCCCAGAAGAAAAAGATATCCCAGAAGAAACTGAAGAAACAAAAACTTACGGCACGGGAGTAAATTCAGCATTAAAATAAATGTAATTAAAAGGAAAAAAAAAAAAAAAAAGAAAAAATGGTACCTAAAGAGAGTTGGGAGAATTAAATGAGTAAATATATATAATGTACTTAAAATAGTGCCTACTACATAATAAGCATTCAATAAGTTTTAAGTACGATTATCATCATCTCAATAATTCATTTTTCCCATAAGTCTTCAATACAAACTCTCCAGGCCAGCTGGTGTTTCCTGCAAGTGCCATTATTTTAAATCTACAAATCACACAAGGCCATTCCCAGCTCCCATCCTGTTTAGATTTCCTCAGCCTAAAACGAACCCCCCTTTACACCATCATCCAGTCTTTTCTTCCTGGCTAAATCCTACCTACTCACTCTTCAGGGTCCCTATAATTTCTTTTTGAGGTCAATTCTGATGATACTTGTTCTCTAAGTCTTCTACTGTCTTGAATATAAAACTAGCACTTTCATTATAAGCTGCCTTATTTTCTGTTTTATTTGTGTTTATTTCCCTGATAAGGTCTAAGCTGTGCCTGGTGGGCAGGGCTTGTATTTTATGCATCTTTATATTCCTTGTACAACCAGCATTCCATAAAGGTCTATCAAGTCAAATGGACGAACCAAGTTAGGCTTTCAGAAGTCTAGGTTTGCCTCCTGATTAAGAAAACAAATGTACTATAAATGACCACATTGCTTAATCTTCCTAGACCTACAGCTTCCTCATCTGTGAAACCTGAACACCTCCAAATGACCTATTAAGAATAAACCAATAAAGTATTTCCGTTAGTTTCAAGAGAACTATATAAAAAAGTTTGTATGTAGTAACAAATCAAGCAGGGACTTAAGGGAAAGAGAAATGGTTAGACAAATTAGGAGATATAGTATGTATAGTATTAGATGACTTGTGTGAAAATACAATGACAGAGATAAAGGAGGACAAGAGAACATGGCCATTAGTACATTAACAATTCTTATGAGGGTTGAAAAGGCACAAAAAGAAGAAACATCTCAGGGCAGACAAGGTTTTGAGGGAGGGAGGTACCTTTGTGAACTTCTGCTTGTAGGAATATTAATTTTAGTATTTTTGCTATTGGTCAAAAGATTTGCCTACTTTTTTTTTTTTTTTTTTTTTTTTTGAGGTGGAGTCTCACTCTGTCAACCAGGCTGCATGAAGTGCAGTGGTACGATCTCAGCTCACTGCAACCTCCGTTTCCTAGGCTCAGACAATTCCTCCACTTCAGCCTCCTGGTTAGCTGGGATTACAGGCATGCACCACCACGCCCAGCTAATTTTTTTATTTTTACTTGAGACAGGGTTTTGCCATGTTGGCCAGGCTGGTCTCAAACTCCTGACCTCAGGTGATCCACCCACCTTGGCCTCTCAAAGTGCCGGGACTACAGGCGTGAGCCACCACACCCGGCCAGATTTGCCTGCATTTTTATAGAAAACAAGAGACAAGGGAACTTGTTGGATGAAGAGGAATCAGGTGAGAAAGAGAGTTAAACGTCATTGCCAAGGGTCTGGTACATTCAGAAAAAAAGAGTTTATCAGGTAAAACAGTAAAACAGACATACGCATCGTACTTAAAGGAGATGGTCTCTAGTTAAAGTATGAAATACAGGAAAGTCTTTAGTGGACAAGAAAAATTCATTTAATCATTCAACAAATACTTATTGACCATTACTATGAGCTAAGACCTGCTAAGGTCTAGGGACACAGCAGTAAGTAAAACAGACATGGTTCTTACCTTCATGGAGTTTACAGATAAATGAGAGACAGATATTAAGTAAACAAAATTACAAATAATTAATTATGAAGAAAAAATGACGATTTCAGAACAAAAAGATAAGCAATACAGGTAAAATAAAATGACAACATTTCAGGCACTACTATAGAGGCTGCAAAACGTTAAGAAATATTAATGGCGTTGTTAATTGGATGTGTGTGGAGAGCAGAAAGGAACAAATCAAAGTTCCTGCAAAGGATTAAGCCTGTGAGGCTAGCAAACTTTTGTTATTTACAAAAGCGAGGAAGCTGGAGAGAGGTCTGAGTAACAGTTTGCATCTGCACGGGCCTTTTATGGTTCACACAGCACTTTCACTTTCATCTTACTGATCTTTACTATGACACTAGAAATTGAGGAAATGGCAGCTGGATAGTAAAGTGACATGTCCAATGACAGATTTACCGTTAACAAGATAATCACTTGTTCTGTCCTCATGCAGATAGACACAAGTAAAAGAGACACTCTATTTAGTCAAGATTCCTTACAGAGAGAAAAATGGTCGACATTTTAATGGACAATAAAAACCAACGGGCCTGACCAAACAAATAAGCACTTAGCCAGTCAGCAGCTTGAACAGCATCATTCAAACGACTCACTTTGACAAAGTCCAGGACAGCATCTCTCTGGATCTGCTTGGTCCTTATTTTCTCCTCCTCATACTGCAGGGCAGCAAGCTGAGCCTCTCTCCGAGTGCGCTCTACTAACTGCTCCCTTCTCTGATGAAGTTCCAGGTCTGTGTGTGACAGCTGGAACCAAAGCGTTATTGTGCATACAAAAGTAAAAATGAGGATCACGTTACCAATATTCCCTATCAATTTAGGGAACTACTGTTGACCCATGCAACTTTTGCTTTGAAGTCACCTAGCATTGCTTGAAATGTGTTTATTGGCTAATCTTTTCCCGTCTTTGCACGGTTCTTATATGTATTAGGTTGGTGCACCAAACTAATACTATAAAGCCATCATGAAGGTAAAGATTTTCTATCTAGTGTCTAAAAACACTGTTAGCAAGTATCACGTACATATGTTATATTAATCGATTGAGACAGCTAGTAATGCTTAAATATACCTGGCAATTAATGGCAATTTAAGTATTATAAAAGAAAAAAAATCATCTTAGTTTAAAAAGCAAAAATAAACACAACTACTAAACATTACCTGATTGTGACTTGCTGATAGTGACAGGAGGGAAGATGGCTCAGCTGGAACCCTGACCCAAAAAAGAAAAAAGAAAGAAAAAAACTCTTTGATAAAAAGACAAACAGATACATAAAAAACAAATGAAATTTTTATTGTAAATGTAGCTTTCTATTAATCAGTAGCAAACTGCCTAGTTAGCATTGAAGGAGTAGCTGCATTTTGTAAACCTAAGTCCAAGTCATTAAGTGAAACCAGAGGAAAATCTGATGCCTCCAACTCACGTTTCATGTGGTATCAACTGTCTATGTCAGCCAATACCAACAATACAGTTAATTGAGATCACCTTGCAAACAGCATCATTTCTTTATAACACAAATAACTATTATCTTCGTTACCACCATGATTAAAACACGATACATGTAAACTGAGATCCTTTTACATACAGTCATTTTTATCAACTACAGAACCTCGTAACTGTACTTATAAAGCACACCTGCTCTTATTTTCAATCGATGAAGCAATTTTAACACAGAAATAAAGATTCTGGTTTTTTTATTTTTAAGAAAAATACAAAGCCCTTTTTAATGCTTAAAAAAACAAAAAAAAAGTAGTACTTCCTTCTCACTGCTATCAGTGTTAATTCTTATAGTTTACTATTTATCCTTTTCCTGAAACAGATTTCATTGCTCAAGTCTCTGTAACTCATCTTTGTGTCTGAAACTAAAACTGGCAAGATTAGTTACTGTCTGACGTTTAGGACGTGGCCTCCAAAACTATGATGATTAGCCTATCAGGCTGATCTACAGGCACTGAAATCAGTGTGCTAATTAGGGCAACCAAAAAAAACCCATCATCATGGCTCACTGCAGTCTTGACCTCCTGGGCTCCAGCCATCACGCCCAGCTGTCTTTGTTTTTTTTGTTTTTTTTTTTTTAATTTTTCTGTGGCAATGAGGGTCTTATTATGTTGCCCAGGCTGGTCTCAAACTCCTGCCCCTCAAGCCATCCTCCCACCTCAGCCTCCTAAAGTAATTGGATTACAGGCGTGTGAGCCACTGCGCCCAGCCGTTTTTTTTTTGTTTTTTTTTTTTTTTGTGGCCCAAGGTGGAGTGCAATGCCGTGATCATGGCTCACTGCAGATTCGACCTCCTGGCCTCAAGCGATAATATCGCCTCAGCCTTTCGAACAGCTGGCCTACAGGTGTGTGTCAACCAACCCAGGCTTATTTCTGCAGTTTTTGTAGAGACCGGGTTTTGCTAGGTTAACCCAGGTCGCTCTCAAACTCCTGAGCTTTCAAGTGATCCACCCACCGAGGCCTCCGAGTGCTGGGATTACGGGTGTGGGCCACCACGCCACGCCCTGATTACACATTTAGAGTAACAGGAATTAACTGCAACTTTCTCCCTAGATTACTAATTTCACTGTTAAAATTTCCCATAGCTTTTAGCGGCCATCTGTAGATGAACTGAAACAAAACATAGAAAGGACCAAATAAACCAACTCAAGTGTGTTTATGTGCCCTAACCTGAACACTAAACTTTAAAAATGCTTTTCAATTTTTGTTTTGTTTTGTTTTGAGACAGAGTCTTGCCCTGTCACCCAGGCTGGAGTGCAGTGGCACGATCTCGCTCACCACAACCTCCACCTCCCAGGTTCAAGAGATTCTTCTGCGTCAGCCTCCTGAGTAGCTGGGATTACAGGCATGCGCCACCACACTCGGCTAATTTTTGTATTTTTAGTAGAGACGGGGTTTCACCATGCTGGCCAGGCTGGTCTTGAACTCCTGACCTCAGGTGATCCACTCACCTCAGCCTCCCAAAGTGCTGGGATTACAGGTGTGAGCCACCATGCCCAGCCGCTTTTCAATTTTTTAATACACACTTTCTTTCTACTTTCTTAAGCACTTTCTAGTGCTTAAGAAATATTGCTTGAATGAATGACAGTAGCACCCTCCCCCGAAAAAGCATGGAATACTGAGACATAAAAAACAAAAATGCAGATAACATGTATGTATCTCCTTTAAATCTTCTTTCTACCTATGTTTCTTTCTTTCTTTCTTTTTTTTTTTTTTTTGACAGAGTCTCATCTCACTCTGTTGTCCAGGCTTGAATGCAGTGGTGCGATCTCAGCTGAGACCTCCACCTCCCAGAGTTAAGCAATCCTACCTCAGCTTCCCAAGCAGCTGGAACTACAGGTGTGCACCACCATGCCTGGCTAATTTTCATCTATTTTTGGTAGAGATGGGGTTTCGCCATGTTGCCCAGGCTGGTCTTGAACTCCTGGGCTCAAGCAAACCACCCACCTTAGCCTCTCAAAGTGCTGGGATTACAAGTACATAGATTCATTTACCCTCTTTTTACAATACTTCTCTAAAAAGCCAGTCAAACCCATTGTTTCCACTTTATCTCATTACTGTATTTTGCACCCAATCCAATCTGCGTCCCGTCCTTTCAGTTTCACTAAAACTTTCTTTCACCTCACAAGTCTGTCAATGATCTTGACATCCCCAAATCCAATAGCTATTTCTTAGTCCTCCCCTTATTAAACCTATCAGCAGGGCCGGGTGCAGTGGCTCCCGCCTGTAATCCCAGCACTTCTTTGGGAGGCCGAGGCGGGCGGATCACAAAGTCAGGAGATAAGAGGCCATCCTGGTCAACATGGTGAAACTCCGTCTCTACTAAAAAAATACGAAAAACTGGCCAGGTGTGGTGGTGCGCGCCTGTAGTCCCAGCTACTCAGAAGGCTGAGGCAGGGGAATCGCTTGAACCTGGGAGGTGGAGGTTGCAGTGAGTCAAGATCGCGCCACTGCACTCCAGCCTGGCGACAGAGTGAGGCTCCATCTGGGAAAAAAAAAAACAAAAAACCTATGAGCAGTAAGTGATGTTATTCATTCCTCTCTATACTTCTTCAAACACTGTTTTCAAGGCTAGGCACAGTGGCTCATGCTTTTAATCCCAGCATTTTGGGAGGCCAAGGCGGGAGGATCTTGAGTCCAGGAGATCAAGGCTGCTTATGAGCTATGATGACACCACTGCACTCCAGCCTGGGTGACAGAGACGTGTCTCAAAAAAACAAAAACAACAACCATTCTCATTTAGCCTCTAGGACACCACCCTCTTTCTCCTATCCCCATGACCACCCCACTCAGTTTGTTTTTCTGGTTGTTCAAGCCCTAATTCTTGCCACCTTACTCCAAACTCATAAATCTAACTGCTTACTTGATAATTCCACTTGGATGTCTTGTAGGTACCTGAAATAGAACATAACCACAGCAGAACTCTCATCTCACATCCCAGATTTGTCCTGCTTTACTCAGACTCCTGGGTGTTTCTTGAATACACCAAAAGCATGTTCCTACCTCAGAACCTCTACCTAGAACGTTTCACCCCTAGACATCCATAATGTTTGCTCTTTTTCAGGTTTCTACTGAAATATTATCATGGCATCTAACATTACTTGCACTCTTCCCTCACCCTACCATCTCTTTTATCCTGCTTTATTTTTCTTCATAGCACCTAGCAGTACCTGAAACATGCTTGTTACATATATTTGTCTACATCCACTAAAAAGTAACTCTAAAATATCAGGGATTTGGAACAGAGACAGAACCACTATAGTGCTTAAGAAATATTGCTTGAATGAATGACAGTAGCACCCTCTCCCGAAAAAGTGTGGAATATTGAGACATAAAAAAACAAAAATGCAGGTAACATGTATGTATCTCCTTTAAATCTTGAACTTACTTGAGCTAAGTAAACCAGACTTTTATCTCTATAAGGCAGACTTTTTTTTTTTCTTTTGAGATGGCGTATCTGTTGCCCAGGCTGGCGTGCAGGGGCACAATCTCAGCTCACTGCAGCCTCTGCCTTCTAAGTTCAAGCAATTCTCCTGCCTCAGCCTCCCAAGTAGCTGGGATTACAGGTGCATGCCACCACGCCCAACTAATTTTTTGTATTTTTAGTAGAGACAGGGTTTTGCCATGTTGGCCAGGCTGGTCTTGAATTCCTGACCTTAGGGGATCCACCTGCCTTGGCCTCCCAAAGTGCTGGGATTACAGGTGTATTACACCCGGCCAGTATAGTGCTGGGATTACACCCAGCACTATACAGGTAATACAGGTGTATTACACCTGGCCAGTATAAGGCAGACTAAACTGCCTTCTCTGTTTTTCTTTATTTACAAAATCACATAATTAATGTGAGTAGCTTTTCTGGCTGTGTCTATATAACATGAAACAAAAAAACTTCCAGGTTTTATCTAAATGTTAATTCTATATTGCTTCTTATAGAAGCTATAACACACTTTACAGAACCTAGTCTGGTATTATCATCTCTCCTGAACTAAAATGCTATTCAAATTATAAGTAGGCCCTATAATTTTTTTTTTTTTTTTTTTAAGACAGAGTCTTGCTCTGTCACCCAGGCTGGAATGCAGTGGTGCAATCTCGGCTCACTGCAACCTCCACCTCCAGGGTTCAAGCGATTCTCCTGCCGCAGCCTCCCAAGTAGCTAGGACTATAGGTGCAAGCTACCACACCCGGCTAATTTTTGTATTTTTAGTAGAGATCAGGTTTCACCATGTTGGCCAGGCTGGTCTGGAACTCCTGAGCTCAGGTGATCTGCTGGCCTCGGGCTCCCAAAGTGCTGGGATTACAGACATAAGCCACTGCACCCAGCCCATAAAAAATTATTTTAACAATTTTTTTAAAACATAATTTTTGCTAGTTTCAATTTCAAATTTACATAATCCATCTTGGCAAATACTACAAAACATTCACACTTTTTATTTATTGTATCTCCCTATGTTTATGATCTCCCAGTAGGGTAGACTCTATGTGGGTAGCGGTAGGGGAGTGGTAGGTGGGAAGAAATGTATGTGTTGGATGAGGGTAGGGGAAAAGAACTGGAAGAAAAAAACGGGTAAGCAAGCTTTCCTTTTCAGCTCACTAGCAGAGGATTCCTTATGCTCACTCAATGTTTTTGAGTTGCTGTAACTGACAGACTGCTGAGGTAGAGTCTTTTTGTTAACATGTTATTCAGATTAGAGACAAGTCTTGCTGGTCTGAGAGCTGTCAGTCATTCTGAGGCGACTGTGTCTTTTTAGGTTCGAATTCAACATTTCACTTGAATGTAAGCTCCAGGAGTGCGGGAATTTTGACTAAGTTCATAGCTATATCCCAACATCTGGAAAGGAACTTGGCACATAGTAGATATTTCACAAATACCTGCTAATTAAAAACATGAAGTATATATTGATCCTAGAGCCTAACTGGTTACTAGGATCAAGTATGGAGTTCTTATCCAAGGACTGTGCTATGGAACCCCGAGTTAAACAGTAATCATGGCTGGGTGCAGTGGCTCACACCTGTAATCCCAGCGCTTTGGCAGGCCAAAGCAGGAGGGTTAGTACTTCAATCTGGGAGTCTGAGACCGGCCTGGGCAACATAGGGAGATTTCTGTCTCTCCTAAAAATAACAAAAAATTTGCTGAGTATGTAGCACACGCCTGAAGTTGCAGCTACTCCAGCGGCTGAGGTGGGAGGATTGCTTGAGCCTGGGAGGTAGAGGCTGCAGTGACCATGATCACAACACTGCACCCCAGCCTAAGGCAATAGAGCAAGACCCTGTCACAAAACAAAACAAAACAAAACAAAACAAAACAAAACAAAACATGTAATCCTAGCTTTAGTTTCCAGCACTGTGGCAGACTAAACGCCCTGAATGACTCTTCCAATGGAAATAACCAAAATGCTGAATAAAATAAAACAAGCTTTTAAAATGTATTGCTAAGGTGCCATGAAAATAAAGAATCCACAGACCTTCAAAAAGAAGTAAAAACAGGAACTCTGGACTAAGATGCGGTAGGCAGACTTTTGGCTTCCACGATCTCGGTCCCTGGCCTTACTCTAGTGAATGCTGTTGTATTACATTTAAAAAAGGCTTTGCAGATGAAATTAAGGTTACTAATCAGCTGGCCTTAAAATGGGGAGATTATCCAGGTTGACCTAATATAATCACGAGCCCTTAAAAGCAAAAGAATTTGCGAGATGTGGCAGAAAGGGAAGTAAGAAAGATTCCAAACATAAGGAGGATTTGGCCTGTCATTCCTGGTTTGAAGATGGAGGGAGCCATGAAGAAGGAATGTGAGTGGGCTCTAAACACCAAGAATGGCCACCAGCTGGCAGCCAGGAAAATAATGGGGACCTCAGTAATGGGGACCGGTAACTGCATCAAACTGAATTCTGCCAAGATGTAGGAGCGTGAAAATGAATTCTCCTCCACAGTCTCCACATGAGAATCCAGGCCAGCCGATACCCTGACTTTGGCCTCTAAGTAGAGAACCCAGCGGGGCCTGCCCAGGCTCTATCCTCCAGAAGTATAATATAATAAAGAGGTGTTGTTCTAAACTGCTAACTTTGTAACACAAGCAACAGAAAACTAACACATAAGGTAACTGAGTGAAAGAGCCAGCTTTTACCTTGAGGGTTTCTACTAAATCCTGGAGCTCTTGAGCTTCACCTATGATGGATGCAGGACGTGAGAGGGGCAGGAGATATAAAATGCAGGCCCACTCAAGGTGGGGAATGTAACTGGAAACTCCTGCATAAAACTGGAATCTTAAAAGACTACACTCTCAATAAAAGGACACGTGGCAACTGAAAAGACATTCTGAAATAAATTTCAAAGCATATCAAATTTAATTAAATCTCCATGAGTTAAGTGATAAGAGTATAAATGTCACAGTGATGTCTGTCTTTTTTCTCCCTACACATTTATTCCATCTATAGCTCAGTCCCCCGAGTTACCTTTAATACCTTGTCAAGTATAAGAACTACGTAAATTCACCGTCACTTAAGAATAGGTGTACCAAGACTTCATAAAACCAGAAGGCAAAGAACTAAAGGCTGAAATTTCCAACTACTGTGAAATTCTTCATGGCAAGAAACATTCTGGAATTCAAGAATGAGAAGCAGTGCTCTAAACGATCAAGCTAATTTTCAAAATATTCTTTTTTTGGTTTTTTTGAGATGGAGTCTCAGTCTGTCACCCAGGCTGGAGGGCAATGGTGCGATCTCGGCTCACTGCAACCTCCGCCTCCTGGGTTCAAGCGATTATCCTGCCTCAGCCTGGAGACTACAGGCATGTGCCACCTGTAGCTGGAATTACAGGCGTGTGCCACCACACCCAGCTATTTTTTGTATTTTTAGTAGAGACGGCGTTTCACCACGTTGGCCAGGCTGGTCTCGAACTCCTGACCTCAAATGATCCACCTGCCTCAGCCTCCCAAAGTGCTGGCATTACAGATATGAGCCACCGCACAGGGCCTAATTTTCAAAATATTCTGAGAGGCACCAAGTACAGTGGAAAGAGTGTATTAACGGAGACAGGACTGGTGATACATATCACTGTCTCTGACTATTTCTCTCTGTTATCCAGTCAAAAATGTAAGTTAAAAAAAATTAGAACTCTCGAAATTCGTTTTTTGTATTTTGTATTTTTTTTTTTTTTTGAGACAGGGTCTCACTCTGTTGCCCAGGTTGGACTGCAATGGCACAAACTGGGTTCACTGCAGTCTCACCCTCCCAGTTCGAGCGATCCTCCCACCTCAGCCTCTGAGTTGCTGGGACCACAGGCATGCACCACCATGCCAGGCTATTTTTTTTTCTTTTTGTAGAGGGGTAGAATGATGCTCAGACTGGTCTCAAACTCCTGGGCTCAAGCAAGCCTCCCGTCTTGGCCTCCCAAAGTGTTGGGATTACAAGTGTTAGCCACTATGCCCAGTCCTGAAATTCTTTTAGCCCTTTTTGTGCATGAATCCATATAGCTTCACCACAAAATCTCATTGCTACTAAGTATCTTCAGATCGATTAACTGTGTAGGTAATGATTTAGATGGTCTCAATTTAGAATCAAATCAGTTTTTACCTTTTCTATGGCATGAGTACAAAAAAGCACACCGTCGCTCAGTTCTAAATACATGCCATGTAAACATCTTTATTACACACAGATCTGCATAAAACCAAAATTACTTTATGCTCTCATGATTAAGACAGAAACAAATTAAGTAGAATTGGTTTTTCAAACCTGTTTTGATGTAAATATCTTCTCATATCTTCTGTTTTTTGAAACTCCCTAATGGCTACTGGCTTTACTGGTGAACCCTAGGCCAGAGGACAGAAATAAATAAATTTAGTATATTAATCCAGAACACTGCGATTACACAGTTCACATCCAATTTGTCATTTAATTTATATATTACACTAAAAAACATTTTAATAGACTCTTCAAATGTAAACTTTAAGTTTAAAAGCATCATATGCTATACTGCTGCTTTAATAAACAAAAACATTCACAATCCACAAACATTTATTTTATTTTATAAGAAAGTAGATTTCCTTCTCACTGTATTATATACATTACAGTGACCAAGCACAGTAATATTTACTGAATAATAAGATGTTAGAATTAGAAAGGAACCGAAGAGGTCACTAACAGACTTCCATTTAGGACAGAAATTCCCACCTACCCTACCCTAACATTTGCTCAGTTTCTCTTGAATATTTCTGGTAATAGTGAGTTCACTGGGCAGGTTACATTTCTTTATTTATCCATCACAACAAATTGTCTCTTATCATACTCATACAAACAGTCTTGAGTGTGTCGGTGAATATCAAGACAAAACAAAAAGTAATTTCTATTTATGGTAAAATACCGTATTTAAAAGGAAAATATTATTGGCAATTTTACTTATCTACAAACCAAAGAGTAAAACGTCATTTTCAAAAAGTATTACTGAGGAAAATTAAACTGGTTTAAAATACAGACCACGCACTGAAAAATAAAATTATAAATCAAAGGTAGAGGATTAAAGGTTATCAAAGGAAAACCTATAGAAGCAATACAATCTTGTTTCAACACCAAAAATAATCATCAAAATGGTTATTCATCAAGGGAAAAATAAGAAAACAACTTTCCCAAAAAGGATATCTACAAATCAAACATAAAACTACTTACCATCTACTTCCAAGAAATAGCATCTACCTCCAAGAAACAGGTATATCACACATCATTAGAAACTTTTGGTGAGTTACTTCAAAGGGCTAACAACTGACTGTCTTAAAGTCTGGACATGAGATCCCAAATAATAAACTACAATTCTACAACTCTGATGCAAAAATAATTTCTCTAATTTTAGTGAAGACACCATTTTAAAATTTTTGCTTATCTGGAGACAGAGTGTCGCTATGTGGCCCAGGCCGGCCTCAAACTGCCGGGCTCAAGCAGTCTTCCTACTTCAGCCTCCCGAGTGGCTGAGACTACAGGAAGGAGCCACCAGGCCAAGCTACACCACTTTAAACAATAAACACAAATCTCTCCTAGGACGCTGTACCAGTGGCTTACCACCCTAGTTTTTTTTTTTTGGATACAGAATCTTGCTCTGTCACCTAGGCTGGAGTGCAGTAGCACAATCTCGGCTCACTGCAATGTCCGCTGCCCAGGTTCAAGTGACTCTCGTGCCTCAGCCTCCCGAGTGGCTGGGATTACAGGCACCTGCCATGACACCCAGCTAAGTTTTTTTTTTTTAATATATATTTTTAGTAGAGACAGCGTTTCTTCATGTTGGCCAGTCTGGTCTCAAACTCCTGACCTCAAGTGATCCACCTGCCTTGGCCTCCCACAGTGCTGGGATTACAGGTGTGAGCCACCATGTCCAGCCCCATCCTAGTTTTATGATACTGCAATTATCTAAAATTATTCTAAGAGGCACACGAAATTTTCATGACAAAATGAATGTGACATTGGTTTAATTAAAAAAAAAATCATACCATGTTCAGACAGGAATGGTCTATGTATGTGACAAGTATTATAATAAAATTAAATAATAGTAGAGTGTTTAACACCTCACATAGGTTAGTTTTTAACATTCCATTTTTAGATAGTGTTCAGGAAAATAAAAAGATACTTCACTGGTTGTGAAACCATCTAAAATAATGCTGCCTCATCACATTTTCACAGATGCTAAATTTTACGAAAGCTTTATGACACAGAAGTCATAAAGACTACCATACGTAACAGGCAGCCAGAATTTTAAAAATATTATTACAAAACAATACAATGAATTAAAGAAATACTATTTTTTTATAGTAGTATAATAGGCATTTTCACTTTTAGTAGAGATACTCCATTTATACAGCCTAAGTAACCATAACATGATCAAA
Organism: Homo sapiens; assembly: GCF_000001405.40. NCBI lineage: Eukaryota > Metazoa > Chordata > Mammalia > Primates > Hominidae > Homo > Homo sapiens. The sequence continues at coordinate 197,837,262 of NC_000003.12, read as the reverse complement.
GAGAAAGACCAGGAAAAAAGAAAATGAATTCCTTTAAGGATTATAATGTGTCATTTTTAATTTTATTGCAAAATAGTTAGTTGCCCCTTGCTCCAGCAGCCTCAACAAGTAGTTTCATCAGTCACCTAGTACACTGCCATCTCTGGGCTGTAGGACTTTGACTTATCTAATTTTATCCAACTTTAAATACAAGTATGTCTCTTTACCAACAAAAAATACGGTGTTCAAAAGTATTCAGATAGGAAAAACCAAGGCCCTTTTTTTAAAAAAAAGAATGATAATACTGGCTGGGTGCGGTGGCTCACACCTGTAATCCCAGCACTTTGGGAGGCTGAGGCGGGCAGATCACCCGAGGTCAGGAGTTTGAGACCAGCCTGGCCAACATGGTGAAACCCCGTCTCTACTAAAAATATAAAAATTAGCCGGGCATGGTGGCAGGTGCCTGTAATCCCAGCTACTCGGGAGGCTGAGGAAGGACAATCACTTGAACCTGGGAGGCAGAGGCTGCAGTAAGCCGAGATCGTGCCAAGGCACACCAGCCTGGGCGACAGAGTGACTCTGCTTCATTAAATAAAGAATGATAATATCACTCTACAACATGTCCCACTTGAAATGATTATTCTCTATTTCTTTTTTTTTCTTTCCTTTTAGCTGTCTCAGACCAAAGAGATTCTTCTCTATTTCTAAAAGGATAATACATCATTCTCTAAAAGGGCCCAAGTGTTTCTCAAATAATCACTGCTCAGAGCCTGAAACCAGCTCCAGACATCAACATCACATCCACTAAAGTGAAGCCATTTTATTATGCTGACAAGATAGACTGAAGAATGCTATTCTATCTGAGACCCTTGGGGAATTGGCAGAGATTCTGTAGTGGGCTGAATGCACATTTGTTTTCTAAGGCAATTCAATGCTCCACTTAAGAGATACCCAAGAACTTTAATAGCAAACAATTTACATTCTGTGTGACTTAGCACAAAAGCTCCAATATAATTCAGCATATTATAAAAATTCTATGGTTAAGTCTGCATGTTGCCACAAAAGTCAACTTTTTGGTTTAACTGTTAATTAACTACTGACCAAACTATGATTTATCAGTTAGTAACAATAAAAAAGCAATAAAAACAACAATGAAAAGCATCACTGTATTTTTCTTTGTACTTTCTTCCAAGGCCTTAACAGTACCTAGACTTCTTTTATTCCTCCTGCAAAATTCTGAAATCTTTCTTCTTGTTTGAAAAATAAACCTAAAGCCTACTTGAGGCTGCTGTCTGAGTTTTCTGAATAAATCTGAAAAACTCAGGACTGAAATCAGAAGTGAACATAATGAAAACAATTAGGCTTCAGTCAACAAATCACTGATATAACAAAACTTTATACTATTATGAATTATTTTTATGAAGGGATAGCAACATATTTAGGCTTCAATCTGTGTACTACCTCATGAGAGATTCGCCGCTGTTCAATATACGCCATAAACTGTGAACTAAGGCTGTCTGGGTCTGGTCCCTTGGGCTGTCTCACCTCGGCCTCCTCTTCCTCTGCGGTGCAGCTGTCTATGTAGTCAATCTGATCCAGATCATGTTCCACTGTATACACCACACACACACCCACACACACACACACACCAGAAAAAAACATTCAAATTAGATAGCCAATAAAAGACATTTACTTATTTCCTTTTCCCCATGATTTTCTATTTTGAAAGTGGGAGGGATGATAAAAACTTTAAATTACTTAAGTCTTTTTTTTTTTTTTTTTTTTTACCCATTTTATGTCCAAGGTTGGTGGCTCACGCCTGTAATCCCAGCACTTTGGGAGGTGGAGGTGGTGAGTGGATCACCTGAAGTCAGGAGTTCAAGGCAAGCCTGACCAATATGCTGAAATCCCGTCTCTACTAAAAATACAAAAATTAGCTGGGCTTAGTGGCACACGCCTGTAGTCCCAGCTACTCGGGAGGCTGAGACAAGAGAATTGCTTGAACCCGGGAGACAGAAGTTACGGTGAGCCAAGACCGTACCACTGCACTCCAGCTTGGGTGACATAGCAAGACTCCGTCTCAAAAACAAAAAAAAAATTAAATTAATTTTACTTATATTTTATTTTGTTTTGTTTTTTTGAGACAGGGTCTCCCTTTGTCATCCAGGCTGCAGTGCAGTGGTGCAATCTTGGCTCACTGCAACCTCTGCTTCTCACGTTCAAGCGATTCTCCTGCCTCAGCCTCCCAAGTAGCTGGGATTACAGGTGTGCACCACCACGCCCGGCTAACTTTTGTATTTTTAGTAGAGACGGGGTTTCACCATGTTGGCCAGGCTGGTCTCCAACTCCTGGGCTCAAGCGATCCGCCCACTGTGGCCACCCAAAGTGCTGGGATTACAGGCATCAGCCAACGTGCCTGGCACACAAGTGTTTATTATTTAGTTCATGGCCACTCACAAAAATAGGCTCCAGAAAACCTTAGTCCTAGTTCACTAAAGAATGTAGCAATTGATGATAATTATTGAAATAGAGACCTCTACCATTTTTCTTTGGACAGCTCCTTACTGTTTTAAACACAGTAGTTTCAGTTTGTGAGACAAAGAGCGAAGACCAATTTTTAAAGACTGAAAGGTGCATCTTTGTGTTTTCGTGTTTTAGGTCTGGGGCTTAATATCTCCGTGAGGAGATGGCAGGTGGAAAACCGAACACAGTCAACTCAAGAGAAAGTCAAAGGCCACACACAAAAAAGAGAAAAGGTAGGAGTAAACTGGACTCGAGAAAGAAAGAGTTTCTGACTACTATCTCCCTTCCTGTAATTGTTGTCAATTAAGCAGAAACAAAAAAGATCAGAACAAAGATTGTCCTATTTGGAAAACTATCTGCTAGAGGTCAGCAATGTAGATATTTTATAATAGTTTATGGATGGGAAGGGATTCATTTGAGGAGTTTCTTCTTCTCAAAATGCTTTAGGGTGAGGAGACGTATATAAATTATTTTTAGCCACATCTTGTTCATCTGCTAAGTTTGGGAATCCCCCATTATTTTTAAGTTTAAAAGTAATGAAACAACTACTTAAAATGGCACACTAGAAAAAAAAACTTCCTACTAAGATAGTTTTTCCAGAGATGCATTAAACCACAACCTGTTACTTCATGACGTTCTACAGGCTGCCTAAAAATCGCAGTTGCTGGAACAGTGAACTTGGGGAAGCCTATTTCTCAATTTAGTCTTCTGACTCAATTATTGACAAATAATTCTGTGACTACAATTAATATAAAATTGAATTTTGAGTTATTAGAGTTTTATTAATAGCTAAAAAAGATGAAAAGGTTCTAAGTTTACATCCACATTAGAAACCAGGTACATAAATGCATTTTTTAAATGTGCTAAAACTTTTCTGACTAAATTAATGGTTTATATTAAGACGATTTCTGAAGAAAGTAACTTTACTTCTTCATCCAATCTAGACCAGTGTGGCCAAAGAGAAAAATAACACAAGCCATGAAGGTGAACCACATATGTCGTTTGAAATTTTCTAGTAGCCATATTTTTTAAAGTAAAAGAGGCAGCATTAACTTTAATATTTTACATTGTCTAATATGTCTAAATATCACTTCAACATATAATCAATGCAAAATATTACTATTTTACACGCTTTTTTTCAAAGGAAGTCTTCAAAATCTGATGTGTATTTTATACTTACAATACATATCAATTTGGAAAAACCACATTTCTGATTTTTTTTCGAGATACAGTCTCATTCTGTCACCCAGGCTGGAGTGCAGTGGCGTGATCTTGGCTCACTGCAACCTCCACCTCCCGAGTTCAAGTGATTCTCCTGCCTCAGCCTCCCGAGTAGCTGGGATTACAGGCATATGCCACTATGCCCTGCTTTTTTTTTTTTTTTTTTTTTTTTTTCGGTTTTTAGTAGAGATGGGGTTTCACCATGTTGGCCAGGCTGGTCTCAAACTCTTGACCTCAAGTGATCCACCCGCCTCAACCTCCCAAAGTGTTGGGATTACAGGCGTGAGCCACCACGCCCAGCCTAAAAAAACACATTTCAAATACTCAATAATTATCACATGTGGCTAGTGGCTATCATACCGGCACAGATCTCAACATTATTTTAAGTCTTAAATAAACTGATGGAGAAAGATACCTCATATGAGAGAAACACTTAAAAGACAACTACTGAAATGTAAATGAAATGGTAACGACAGGAGTAAAGAATCTAAGATGGTAAGGAAAAGGACAGCAAACCATTTAATTGAAATCGTCACTGAGAAATGAAAGCTCTCCTCGGATAAGCAATAGGTTTCTGGAAAATCAAAGTTATTTTCCATTATAACTGGCCCTCAAAATTTAAATATGAAATTAAACATTAAACATTAAATTCAAACCAATTCAAGCAATACAGAATTGAATGCGAAAATCAAGAGTCTGCTTCGGAAGTATAAGCAAGTAGAGAGAGTGCTGCTTGCTAATGAACTACAAATTTTTTAATGTCAGAATAAGGAAAACTGTGATTCAGATGACTTTGAAGAGCATCTGACAATTCCAGGTGAAGAAAAGGTAAACACTGAAAAAAAAAAAAAAAAGGACTAAATTCCTAAAAGAGATCAAATAATGACCACAGCAAGAATCTTAAAAAGGGAGAATGTTACTTCAAAAGGTCGTGATTAAATCCAGATTAACAAAGATCTGCTCCAGGTGTACTGTCTCTAATAAAGTTTCCTCCCAAAATAAAAACAAGGGAGAAATAGTGTATTTTAACTCTGACTGAAACCAGAAATCATAGTTTCATCCCAATGGAAAATAGTATTTTTCAATCATATATGAAAAGAAGTCTTTAAAAGAAGAGTGAAGAAGCTATAGATACACCAACAAAAGGAGTGGGTATGAAAAAGACAACTTTAAAAAGTTAAATGGTTGCAAACACTTTAGCTGTCACCGGAATTATGTTTACCTCCGCCGTTTGTTACTACCAAACTGCCGCGGTTCTCTTGGTACTGGCTTTCTCTTCGTAGTCTTTGTTCTTTAGTAATCTCTGCTACTCGAAGAGGCAGATCTGAAAATTCATCTGTAGGCTTAAAAAAGAAGCAGAAACATTAAAAACAATCATTTTAGAGCCTGGCAGATCATGCCTGTAATCCATGCGCTTTGGGAGACCAAAGCAGGAGGATCACTTGAGGCCAGGAGTAAATTAGCTAGATGTGCTCACACATGCCTGTAATCCTAATACTTGGGATGTTGAGGCGAGACGATCGCTTCAGCCCAGGAGTTCGAGGCTGCAATGAGACAGGATTCCACCACTGCACTCCAGCCTGTGCGACAAAGCGAGATCCTATTTCAAAAAAATAAAAATCTGGTCTGGAGTGGTGGCTGATGCCTATAATCCCAACACTTTGGGAGACCAAGATGGGAATGACAAGCCCAGGAGTTTGAGACTAGCCTGGGCAATATAGGGAGAGCATGTCTCTAAAAAAAAATTTTTTTTAATTAGCCAGGCATGGTGGCATAAGCCTGTAGTCCCAGCTACTCAGGAGGTTTAGGTGGGAGGACTGCTTGAGCCATGGTCGTGCCACTGCACTCCAGCCTGGGTGAAAGAGCAAGACTCTGTCTCAAAAAATATAAAAGATTCATGACTCCATAAATTATATATATATAGATTTAAAATATCTACATATATATCTGTATTGATACAGCCACATTTATGAACCCACCCACCAAGACATACAAACACAAGTAATTCCAAATTTCAAATGGGATGTGGTCTAAAATTAATTTGGTTTCAATTCACAGTAAAACAATGTTATAAATAGTAGGTTATCAGTCTTGCTAACAAAAGTTTACTTAATAACTTAATGCATAGCTAAAATATTACACATTAGTAATTTTTATTTATTTTTTTACTTTTTTTCTTCTGTAGACCTCTGTGGACACAGTAATTTTTAAGAGCAGAAAACATAATATCAATAATTTAAAAACGAGAAAAACGACAGAATTAGCCAGGAAGTTATTCCTCTTGAGCACATGAATACTCTTTACTAAGGTCCTTGTCTCTACCCATCAGCCGAAAGTCCTACTTGTTTTCTCACCATCTAGCACCTCTGCTCGAGATTACCCCCCACCTCAGATTGTAGGCTTCAGTTTCAACTGGCTCAGCTCCTGTTTGCCTTTCTATGATATGAAACTATTTCCATGAGGCAATGAGGAAACAGGCGGAAATCCACGTGACAGAAAGCCGGTAAGGACGCAGAATGCCAATTCTGCTGGAGAGGGTGGGAATCTTGCCTCCACCTTGACTTTTCTGTATTTTATGTAGTGAGAAACTGAATCCAGTTAAGACGCTTTTCATTTTCATCATTCTGTTTTCTCTTAATCAGGTGTTATAACACACGGAACATAAAAAACACTTACTTCATTCCCTGACCATCTCTTATCACCACTGTCCACACTATTGAAGCCTGAATCAAGGGCTCCATAAGGGCGACTTGAGTACAGTTCTTCATGGCTGCCGAAAAGAGACTCTGTTACTGCAAAGTTTGTTATTTTAACAATTAAAATTTGAAATTAAACAGATCAATTTTCTAAAAAACAAGAAATGTGGCAGTCACTTAACTATTAGAACTAAATGGGCTTTAATTTTTTAATATGAAAAATTCCAAATAGAAACAAAGCAAACAGAATAGCATGAGACCTCATGTACTCATTATTATCCAGCTTCAAAACAATCACACCTCTGCAATTCTTGTTCGTCCAATGAGGCGAGTTTACTAGGACTGTGCTTTTAAGCAAAATTTGAGAGGTTCAAGAGAAGGCCTGAGAGGTTCTCTTTTGAGTAAAGTCCATAAACATTACTTCACTTTGACTGAAACATCTATCCTGCTTGTTTAAAGGCCTAAGAATTTAATTCTTGCTACTTAAGACTGCTCCATACTCAGGAGGCTGAGGTGGGAGGAATGCTTGAGCTCAGGAGTTTGAGACCAGGCTGGGCAACATAGTAAGACCTTGTTTCAAAAAAAAGAGATTGTTCCAGATGGTTGGGACTGCCAAGCAGATGACCTTATAAGTCACAGGCTGTGTAGCTGAGGGACTCATAGATTAAAAGATCCTGAAGTGATGTTAATGGTCAACAAATCCAACTCTTGACTCCTTGTAGAAAAAATGAAACTCAAAAAGTAGGAATGACTTGCCTTCGGCTAGTTACCTCAGCAGCAGAGCTAAAGTTAGCGTTCAAGTCACTCAGACCAGTAGTTTTCAACTGGAGGGCCCCAAGGTGACATTTGGAGACTTTGCGAGGGTACTACTGGCATCTATCTAATGGGCAGACACCAAGGATGCTGGTAAATGTCTTACAATGTACAGGACAGCCCATCACAACAAAGAATTATCTGATCTAAAATGTCAACAGTGCCAAGGTTGAGAAACCCTTAGAACTAGACTTTGCCAGATCTAGGTAATCAACTTTACAATACAAGCATTCTGAGAATAACAGTGTTAAAACAGGTTATTTCCCTTTAGTCAAACATTCAGGCAAATTTAAGTATCCATTTTATTTGATTCTCTGTACAAAAAATATGATAGATAAAGGGACAGAATATACTTACCAGGAGCCAAAACCCAACGGTCTCCTATCATAATCCGGCAGATCTGGAGCAATCTTACAAGCTTGTATGTTCAGGTATTTAAATATGTGGACTTTGCCTTTTATACATATCTAAATAAAGTCACACAGATGTAGCCAAATTATTACTCATCTGAAGTATGCTCCTTTTTATCATATCAACATTTTATGTAACATACATTGGGAAAGGGAGGCATTTCTATCAAGTACATACAGTAATATTTAAAAACTAATAAATTATATTATTTGGTTAAGTGTTATTTTAGGTGTTTAACTGGTAAATATGTTTTCATTTTCTAGTCACTAATACATTTCAGTAATATATAAATAAATAACTTTTGATTATACTGTTCAAATACCAAGTAAACTTATCACACTGACTAGTTTGCATAGTCAGAGATTTAAAGCATTTCTCCTCATTAGATTACATGAAGCAACTTTTACTTTTAGGAATCCAACAATCATATACAACTATGTTTTTGATTCTGCTTTGAGAGAGAAGAGCAGGAAATCATGAAACATTACATATATTTCTGTTGCTACTTGTCCCAGAAGTCAAAACACAAATTCTTGAGGCTTATAAGACCCTTCTATTGTTAGGAAGTTTACTCATAAAGTTTTATAGTTGCCATAAAGAGTAGCATATGCCGCCGGGCACAGTGGCTCACACCTGTAATTGCAGCACTTTGGGAGTCTGAGGTGGGTGGATCACCTGAGGTCAGGAGTTCAAGACCAGCCTGACCAACACGGTGAAATCCCGTCTGTACTACAAATACAAAAAATTAGCCGGGCATGGTGGCAGGCGCTTGTAATCCCAGCTACTCGGGAGGCTGAGGCAGGAGAATCGCTTGAACCCAGGAGGCGGAGGCTGCAGTAAGCCGAGATCGCACCATTGCACTCCGGCCTGGGCAACAAGAGCAAAACTTCATCTCAAAAAAAAAAAAAAAAAAAAAGAGTAACATATGCTTGTACAAAATCGTCAATAAACTGCAGAGTTAAAAAGAGCTAAGGGGGCCGGGCGCGGTGGCTCACACCTGTAATCCCAGCACTTTGGGAGGCCGAGGCAGGTGGATCATGAGGTCAGGAGATTGAGACCATTCTGGCTAACACGGTGAAACCCCGTCTCTACTAAAAATACAAAAAATTAGCCAGGCATGGTGGCAGGCACCTGTACTCCCAGCTACTTGGGAAGCTGAGGCAGAAGAATAGTGTGAACCCGGGAGGCGGAGCTTGCAGAGAGCCGAGATCGCGCCACTGCACTCCAGCCTGGGCAACAGAGCGAGACTCCTTCTCACAAAAAAATAAAAAAATAAAAGAGCTGAGGGAAAATAATGAGTTGGCAAAAATTTCTAGGTTGTAGGATGTCCAGCATCTACATGTAAAGCTACTTTATAATTATTACTGTATAGCTTCACTTCAGTCACTGGTAAACAAATGACCAAACTGTCTAAAGTAGGAATTTGTGACTTTAGAATTAGGAAGGTTATAATAACAATGATCAGAAAAAGAAATCTACTGATAGTTTTTAGCTCTGAAAGCTGAGTATTTTTATCTGTCTCTAGCATTTTTTTTTTTTTTTTGAGACGGAGTCTCACCCTGTCGCCCAGGCTGGAGTGCAGTGGCGCCATCTCAGCTCACTGCAGCCTCCACCTCCTGGGTTCAAGTGATTTTCCTGCCTCAGCCTCCTGAGTAGCTGGGACTACAGGCGCCCACCACCGCACCCGGCTAATTTTTGTATTTTTAGTAGAGACAAGGTTTCACCATGTTGGCCAGGATGATCTCGATCTCCTGACCTCATGATCTGCCCACCTCGGCCTCCCAAAGTGCTGGAATTACAGGCATGAGCCACCACACCTGGCCTGTCTCTAGCATTTATGGTGTCTACACTCAAATTTTACTAGAAAAAAATAAAGAAATTAACTAAAATTTTACAAGAAAAAATTAAGAAATTAACTAAAATTTTATTAGAAAAAAATTTAGGGAAGAATTCTTCAATTTAAAAAGAAATACCAATTTAGAGAAAGGAAAAATACTTCTGGAAACATTATCTTCTAATCCATTAATTCAAGGCTTCTCAAAAATACATATGTATGTGAATCCATTTTAAAAGAAATTATTTTCTAACCGAATGATAAATGTACATGAAATTTTAAATTTCATCCTTTGTCCAAAAAAAGTCCATGCGATGCTTCCACTATGGTTTACCTGATGCTTCCACTATGATTTGCCTGATGCTTCCACTATGATTTACCTGATGCTTCCACTATGGTTTACCTGATGCTTCCACTATGGTTTACCTGATGCTTCCACTATGGTTTACCTGATGCTTCCACTATGGTTTACCTGATGCTTCCATTATGGTTTACCTGATGCTTCCACTATGGTTTACCTGATGCTTCCACCATGATTTATCTGATGCTTCCACCATGGTTTACCTGATGCTTCCACCATGGTCTACCTGATGCTTCCACTATGGTTTACCTGATGCTTCCACTATGGTTTACCTGATGCTTCCACTGTGGTTTACCTGATGCTTCCACTATGATTTACCTGATGCTTCCACTATGGTTCACCAGATGCTTCCACCGTGGTTTACCTGATGCTTCCACCATGGTTTACCTGATGCTTCCACTATGGTTTACCTGTGCAGGAGGTGATTGTAGTGGATTGTTATCTAGGGTGATCGTCTGTAGGTGCCTGAGGTTCCGATAACAAACAGGGATTGTGGTAATTTTATTGCATGAGAAGTCTAACCGTATCAAAGGCAACTCCGCCAGCTCTGCAAGAAGGTAAAATGGAAATGAACAATTAATGATGTTTTACAACTAGAGAATTTTTACAAAGCTTCTAGTTAAATGTGATTTTAACATAGATATTTACTCCCATTCTCTTTTAGTGATTAACTGGTAGCAAAGTGGTAAAAATGAGAAAAGTGGTAGCAAAGTGGTAAAAATGAGATCCAGTTGCCTATAGACAGGATTACTAATAAAAAGCAGCTTTGACCCGCTCAGAACTACAGAAAGTCTCAGAAGCTGGAGGCCCTGATACCACAAGAAGGTGAGGATAACAAAAGGATTAGATAACACTCTACATAAAGAACAGTTAAATGCCTGGGTCAACAGCCCCCACTAACACAGCTGGGGCACTATCCTTCTCCAATGTTCCCAGGAATCAGCAAGTTATTTTCTAGTGAAATTGAATCAAAAATGCTCGGAACTAAGGGATCCCAGGCACAATAGGATGACAAAAGTCAGGAGGAGTTGCCAGCTAAAAATGGAGGAGTTAAGTCAAAGTCTACACACTTAACATTAAGACCTCAGCACCTTCTCACCCCACCCTATCCTACTTCATCCCAGGAATGGCTGTACTTAAGAATATACACAATAACGAAGAAGAAATGGAGCTTCTTTCTCTGGATAAACTTCACAGTCCCATATAAAAGGCCTTTATATAATGATACAGAATTTCTTCTAATAAAATACACAGCTTGTTGTTTAATTACCATTATACAATTTCTGCCCAGTATACTGAGAACTTCTAATCAGCCATATAAAGATAGTATATGATCCACAGACATTTAGACATCTCCAACATCAAAACCAACTAACTAACCAAAAAAAGGAACTCAGAAGAAACAGGTATTTTATAGAAAGCAGAAGAAAATTTTGAAAAGCTAGACTATCTTTAGTTTCAGAAAGAGAAGGTCTTTAATCACTGAAACATAAAAGGAATATTTTTTAAAAATCACAGAATGAGTTTGTAGAAATGAAAAAATATAATGGTAGCAATTAAAAATTCATAAGAATGGTTGGAACTATTTTACCATAAGGTAACACAAAATGACACAGAAATGAATAATAAAAAATATAAGAAAAATCAGCTGGGCGCGGTGGCTCAAGCCTGTAATCCCAGTACTTTGGGAGGCCGAGGCAGGCGGATCACGAGGTCAGGAGATCGAGACCATCCTGGCTAACACGGTGAGACCCCGTCTCTACTAAAAATACAAAAAATTAGCTGGGCGTGGTGGCGGGCGCCTGTAGTCCCAGCTACTCGGGAGGCTGAGACAGGAGAATGGCGTGAACCCGGGAGGCGGAGCTTGCAGTGAGCCGAGATTGAGCCACTGCACTCCAGCCTGGGAGACAGAGCAAGACTCTGTCTCAAAAAAAAAAAAAAAAAAAAAAAAAAAAAAAAATCAAAGAGGATCAACAAAGAGGTCTAATAACATCCAATTCAAAATAATTCAAAAAGGGGACAGAGAAACCAGAAGAAAGAAAATTATTTAAAAAAAAAAAAAAAGATATAAAACAATTTCCCAAAACGGAAGATATGGATCTCTGGTTTGGAAAGGGGCCCACCAAGTATCCAGCACATTAAATTAAAACAACTCATGCTATGGCACATTAACATAAAATTTCAGAGCAGCAGATAAACAGGGACCATCTTAAAATCTTCCAGAGAGCAAAAGCTGGTCACAAAATACTGGGATTAAGAATGAATGGCATCAGATTTTCAACCATCAATTTTAAACACTGAAAGTGGAAAGTGAAAAAACACTTAAAAGTCTTGAAAGAAAATAGTTTTCAACCTGGATTTATAATCAAACAATCAAGGGGGAACATAGAATAAAGACATTTATTTTCCAGTGAAGTCTCAAAAATATGTTCTCCCATGACGTGTTCTTGGGAAGCTACTAGGAGATGTCCTCCAGCAAAACAGGGAGTAACTGAGGAAGATCCAGAGTCTAGGACTCAGAGTATTTAACACAGAAGAAAGAAAGCTGGGCAGCAGGCCAGGTGCAGTGGCTCACGCCTGTAATCCCAGCACTTTGGGAGGCCAAGGCGGGTGAATCACGAGGTCAGAAGTTCAAGACCAGCCTGGCCAAGATGGTAAAACCCCATCTCTACTAAAAATACAAAAGTTAGCCAGGCGTGGTGGCGGGCTCCTATAATCCCAGCTACTTGGGAGGCTGAGGCAGAGAATCACTTGAACCCGGGACGGGGGGGCAGAGGTTACCGTGAGCCGAGATCGCGCCACTGTACTCCAGCCTGGGTGACAGAGTGAGACTGTCTCAAAAAAAAAAAAAGCTGGGCAGCAATACTAGAGAACAGCCAGTCCACATCAGAAGAGAAAAAAAGGGCTCAGTGAGGTGGAAGTGCAGGGAAAAAAGGGATAGAGAATCTGGTCTGACCAGAAAGCCTGCTGGAAAAAGAGGGTGGAATTAGCCATAGACACACATAAAAATAAGCATATAAAAAGATAAGAAACTATTACCTCCAGGGGAAAAAAAAAAAAAAAGCCGGGCGTGGTGGCTCACGCCTGTAATCCCAGCACTTTGGGAGGCCAAGGCGGGTGGATCACGAGGTCAGGGGTTCGAGACCAGCCTGACCAACATGGTGAAACCCCATCTCTACTAAAAATACAAAAATTAGCTGGGCATGGTGGCGGGCGCCTGTAATTCCAGCTACTCAGGAGGCTGAGGCAGGAGAATTGCTTGAACCCGAGAGGCGGAGGCTGCAGTGAGCCAAGATCATGCCACTGCACTCCAGCCTGGGCGACAGAGCAAGACTCTGTCTCAAAAAAAAAAAGAAAAAAACATGTACAAGAAAGGAAATAAAATCAGAGTACATCACTTGAATTGGCAGGGAACAATGTTTACATAATTACAGTAATGTGAACACTGAGTAACAATTTAATCAGAAGTTGTGCTAAAACTACACTGGGAAGATGGGAGGAAAGCAGTAAAGGCATGGTATGGTGACAGTGTAAGGAAACTAAATCCTCATCTATCATCACAATAGGAAGCTGACATAAGTGTCAAAGTTGCCCAAACCAGCAATAGCTATAAAAACATATCAGTTAGAAATATGTCAGCAGTCTGGGCACTGTGGCTCATGCCTGTAATCTCAGCACTTTGGGAGGCTGAGGTGGGTGGATTGCTTGAGTCCAGGAGACCAGCCAGGGGAACATGGTGAGACCCTTGTCTCTACAAAACAATACAAAATTTTCTGGGTGTGATGGTGCATGTCTGCAGTCCCAGCTACTTGGAAGGCTCAGATGGGAGGATGGCTTCAGCCCACAGAGTTCGAGGCTACGGTGAGCTCTGGTCACGCCATGCACTCCAGCCTGGGCAACAGAGTGAGACCCTATCTCAAAAAAAAAAAGAGTCAAAGGAGTTTAATGAAGGTACATACTTTTGGCCATTGAAATTGGTGTGCAGGGAAGTTTGAGGCAGGGGAACGACACTATTTAAGATTCTTGGCTGGGCACGGTGGCTCACGACTGTAATCCCAGCATTTTGGGAGGCTGAGGCAGGCGGATCACGAGGTCAGGAGATCAAGACCATCCTGGGCAACATGGTGAAACCCCGTCTCTACTAAAAATACAAAAAAGGCCGGGCACGGTGGCTCACGCCTGTAATCCTAGCACTTTGGGAGGCTGAGGCAGGCGGATCATGAGGTCAGGAGTTTGAGACCAGCCTGGCCAACATAATGAAACCCCGTCTCTACTAAAAATACAAAAAAAAAAAAAAAAATTAACTGGGCATGGTGGCGGGCACCTGTAATCCCAGCTACTTGGGAGGCAGAGGTTGCAGTGAGCCAAGATCACTCCACTGTACTCCAGCCAGGGCGACAGTGTGAGACTCCGTCTCAAAAAAAAAAAAAGAAGTAAAAATACAAAAATTAGCTGGGTGTGGTGGTGTGTGCCTGTAATGCCAGCTACTCGGGAGGCTGAGGCAGGAGAATGGCATGAACCCAGGAGGTGAAGCTTGCAGTAAGCTGAGATCGCACCACTGCACTCCAGCCTGCGTGACAGAGTGAGACTCCGTCTCAAGAAAAAAAAAAAAAAAAGATTCTTAATATTTTTTAATATTTTTTGAATGATGTAACATATTATTTGGTAAAAATTAATTTTAAATCAAAATGGCAATATAACAAAAGATATATGACATGTACCAAATTGCAATGTTAGAAATTACCAATTAAGTAACACAAACTTCCACACGAACGAATGTAGCTGTTGGAATAAAGCTTCACTTGCTAACTCAGTTCAACTATATGTGCTGAGATTATAAAATAAACTGTTAAAAAAATTGAAACTATTTGTGTGATAAACCATTTTGTCAGCAGTCTACAATCAAAATAAGATACAGAAATAAATTAGTTGATAAAACTATTAAGCTTCCATTGTCATCTGAAATGCTCAATTTTCATTTTGATTAAAACCCTAATATTCTCATTAATTGATTTCACACTAAATATTATTATAGGAGTAAGTCTTTGAAGACCAACCACAGTAGGCGAGTCCTGAGTACAGAGGTAACCCTAGGGAGAAATTTGGGGTTATAAGGTCCTAGAGGTCATGATTTTGGTTTTGCTAACCTTCATTTACATTCCTGAGTTGGTAGCAAACAGAACCAGGAGAAAATAAGGAAGGCCCTGAGGATAAAAAGTGTGAAGGTTCCTGGACAAGCCAAGTGAGAGGAAAGACACGCAAGGTTTTGGTTGCAGTAAGTATATAAAAGTGGACTGAAAAGGTCACGTTCTTACACATTTACTTGGAATCCAAAATGTCAAAGCTCCACTAGTATGTTAGAACTAAATATTATGCTGTATCAAATTGGTATAAATATTTGAATTCCACAGGGAAAGCGAAAACATCATTAGTTAATTCAACATGTATTGTGGCCAGGTGCAGTGGCTCACGCCTATAATCCCAGCACTCTGACAGGCTGAGGCAAGTGGATCTCTTGACCCCAGGAGTTTGAGACCAGCCTGGGCAACAGGGCAAAACCCCGTCTCTACTAAAAATACAAAAAGTAGGTGACATGGTGGCAAGTGCCTGTAGTCTAAGCTACCTGGGAGGCTGAGGTGAGAGGATCACCTAAACCTGAGAGGTCGAGGCTGCAGTGAGCCATGTTCGTGCCACTGCACTCTAGCCTGAGTAATGGGAGTGAGACCCTGTCTCAAAACAAACAAAATATTGATTGTACACTGTAAGTCATATTTTGTCAAAGAACCCAGAAAAGCACTGTCATGAAAATACCTTGAGAAGATTCCTTGTTTTTCTGGAATGTTTACCAATAAATTTCTGTATTTGATTCAAATTAATCTAGAGAATAGTGCAGGGGAAAGTAAATGAGAGCACAGTTGAGACAAGACTTGCCATGAGCTGATGACTCTTACTGCTGGGTGATGAGCAGAAACATATAGGAAGAAATATATATTCTGGATCTCATAAAATAATAGCTCTCATTTTCATCTTCCTTTCTAGCATTCTGTTTCATTAATTTGTGAAAGATTGATAAACTAGACTTCATTAATGTTTAATCATTTTTATCAAATACATATATCAGAGCTTGTAGTCAGCCTAAGTAAATAACCCGTCTCTTAGCGCAGTCTCTCACCCCATTTATCATTCACTCTACACATCACCTCCACATGGTTCATTAGCCTCTGTTTGAACATCTCCAGTGACCGGTTAAGTTCAGGTCAAAGTCCATTTTTAAGTGAGTGCTAACTGCAGAAATGTTTTTCATTATACTACACTATCCCCTTATCCAAACATGTTACATTTCCCCCAAACAGTCATGCTTACTGAAATTTCCAGGGACCCTACCCTGAGTTATTAATTACATCGGTTGACAAGATCTAAAAATAAAATCAAAGGTCAAGAGTTATCAAACCTTTTCATTGAAGAGGCTTTTAAAATCCACAATGGAACAGATAACACTATTAAATAAACCATTAGATTTCAAACACTGGAGGTAACACACACATACTCTCTCACACACACACAAACACACACAGACACACACACACTCTCTCTCTCTCTCCCCACCCCGTTTTTTTAAAAAAGGTCTCTTTCTGGTGCTCAGGCTAGAGTGCAGTGACCCCACCACAGCTCACTGCAGCCTTGGCCTCCTGGGCTCAGGGACTCCTCCCACCTCAGCTTCCTGAGTAGCTGGGACTACAAGAGTGCGCCAGCCCCCTGGGCTAATTTGTTAATTTTCTGTAGAGACAGACTCCCTATATTGCCCAGGCTGGTCTCGAATTCCTGGGTTCAAGCAATCCTCCCTCATCGGCCTCCCAAAGTGTTGGCATTACAGGCAGGAGCCACAGCGCCCAGCCTAGATGTAACCCTTATACATTTTTGTCTTGATTGGTCTGAGAGAGCTTTAAAATAATAAAACAATTATTTCATGGTTTCTTATTTCATAGTTTCTTACCTTCAGGCAAATGTACTAGGTGATTTCTTCTTACATTAAGGTCTCTCAAGGCCTCCAGGTTACCAATTTGGGAAGGTATAGTTTGAATTTCATTGCAGCTCACATCCTATTTCGAAAAGATACAAAATAAAGATTGTCCTAACATTACAAACTTGTCTGCTTTAAACTGTCTATAAAATTAGATATGTTTGGGAGACCTTCTGGTATCTCACTTAATAGCTTAATTCAATGGTTCTGAAAAGAGACTACCTACAGGTTCGAAGATTAATAAATTCAGAATACCATAATTCTGAGATCAGCCAAAATAATTTGTAAACCCATCATTATATGAACAGAGGGAAGCTGCCACATTAACACTTAAAATTCTTCCAATATGACTAAAAGAAAACAATACATTTACTATTTAGAAAAGGCCGCTTGCTGCGGAGTATGGTGGCTCATGCCTGTAATCCCAGCACTCTGGGAAGCCGAGGTGGGTGGATCACGTGAGCCCAGGAGTTTCAGACCAGCGTGGGCAACATGGTAAGGCCTTGTCTCTATTTTCTTTTTTTTAAAAAGAAAAAAGAATAAAAAGAGACCTCTTGCCAAATTTTTCAATAAGCCTCAAACGTTAATTTCCTTAAAGTATCCTTAGAGAAAATACTATTTTTACTTTTCCTACCAATTAATAATTGAAGTAGAATCAGAAGCTAGACTTTTTTTTTTCTTTTTTTTGAGATGGAGTCTCACTGTTGTCACCCGAGCTGGAGTGCAATAGCACGATCTCAGCTCACTGTAACCTCCGTCTCTCGGGTTCCAGCAATTCTCCTGCCTCAGCCTCCCAAGTAGCTGGGATTACAGGCACCCACCACCACACCCAGCTAATTTTTGTATTTTTAGTAGAGATGGGGTTTCATCATGTTGACCAGGCTGGTCTCGAACTCCTGACCTCAGGTGATCCACCTGCCTCAGCCTCCCAAAGTGCTGCGATTACAGGCATGAGCCACCGTGCCCGGCCAGAAGCTAGACTTCTGAGTCCAATGCTCTAGGCATTAAAATGGTTCTAAAAGAAGTTGAAAGGATATAGGTTCAAATCCTAGCTAGAAAAAAAAAAAAAGTTGAAAGCATAGAAAAATCGAGTCTGAGCCAAAAGGTAATAGCAATGTATAATCTCTCAGAAAATACGTATGTTGAAAACAGCAGTTTGCTTTCACTTAATGAAGAGGAAAAAAAGAGCGAACCAACAAGGATGTTGCTGAACAACCATCAGATGGGAATGGAGAGCTTTAGGGACACTCATTCTTTTTTCTTTTTTTTTTTTTTTCCCAGACGGAATCTCACTCTGTTGCCCAGGCTGGAGTGCAGTGGTGTGATCTCGGCTCACTGCAACCTCTGCCTCCCAGGTTCAAGCGATTCTCCTGCCTCAGCCTCCCAAGTTGCTGGGATAACAGGTGCGTGCCACCACGCCTGGCTAATTTTTGTATTTTTAGCAGAGATGGGGTTTCACTATGTTGGTCAGGCTGGTCTCGAACTCCTGACCTCAGGTGATCTGCCCCTCTCGGCCTCCCAAAGTGCTAGGATTACAAGTGTGAGCCACTGCGCCTGGCTGGGACACTAATTCTTATTCTGCCACAAGTTCCTTATATGACTGAGGATATCAATTAACCTCTTTTGTAGAAAACAAAAAGCAGCTTCTATAACACATCTCTACCTTTTAAGTATTTAGGATTGAATAAGTAGAAACAAAATGTTTAAATGATTTGAAAATAAGAATTTGAATTATAGTTTACTTCTAGTTCATGTTTTTAACCCAAGTTCTGAAGAGATGCTGATAAACATACATTCTGATCTTTATGTCCTAGTTCTAACTGGCTCCAAAAATAGTGGTCTAGAATGTAGACTCTAGTTTAAATATATTTGTGGATTCTCCCACGTAACCTCTTATATTCATAATCTACCTGGAAAAAGTGATCCAACTATATTACATATGTATTAATTTATGATAACCATCTTCCATCTTTGTTAATAAACCTACACGAAACCATACCCCTAAATCCTAATGGACATAATTGTATTTGACCACTTCAGAAAGAGTTAAGGTAGTCTGGTTTCAAATACTATTTCTGTTATATAACCTTAGGCAAGTTATTTAACCTATTTGAGTGCTAGCTTCCTCAGCTATAAAATGAAAATAATTTTAGTAATCAATTCATAATATTATTATGGTGATTAAATGAGAAAATTGTTATTCCCATGCTCAGAAGGTAAATACTCAAGAAGTGATTTGGTGAAGGAGTTCAATTAAGTGTCTTAGAAAATACAGGGCAACAGGGCCGTGCGCGGTGGCTCACGCCTGTAATCCCAGCACTTTGGGAGGCCGAGGTGGGCAGATCACAAGGTCAGGAGATCAAGACTATCCTGGCTAACACGGTGAAACCCTGTCTCTACTAAAAATACAAAAAAATTAACCAGGCATGGTGGCGGGCGCCTGTGGTCCCAGCTACTCAGGAGGCTGAGGCAGGAGAATGGCGTGAACCTGGGAGGCAAAGCTTGCAGTAAGCCGAGATTGCGCCACTGCACTCCAGCCTAGGTGACAGAGCAACACTCTGTCTCAAAACAAACAAACAAACAAACAAACATGGCAATGAAGTATATTTTACTTTATAGAGTGGGAGATAGCGTCTAAAGATATAATGTAAGGCAAAAAATAAACCTGACCTTTGTAGTGCCATTCCCCTACAGGAGCTAATCAAAAATCAGAATATTGATGATACAAACAAATTTATTTTGAAAAATTCAATTATATTAACATATCTCAAAAATTTAATGACACAGAAATCATTTAATATTGGTTAGAACCTAATTCTAATGACCTTTTCCCATCTGTGTGGGCCAATTAGGCTTGTACTTTCCGTTCTTAATTCTGTGTGCCAACCACTTGAGTACGGAAAATTCAGTATATGATTCATTACCAATACTGGAAAATAAGTCAAAAACATATATCAATAATAAATCTTTGCCATATAAAAGACTATGGTATGACTTTGTATACATCTCTCTCTCCAAGGTTTCATATATATATATATATATACACACACACACACAGACACACACACACACATGTTGGACAATCAAAAATATTAACTTACAAGTTCCATCAAATGTCTAAGGTGTCCAATTTCTTCTGGAAGTGACACCAATTTGTTATTACTAGCAATTAAGACTTTCAATGGCAAATTACACAAGTGTACCGGCAATGTTGACAGTTGGTTCCGACTAAATGGGTAAGTAGAAAGAGAGAAGAATCAGAGTCCACCACTGAAGAAAAATTTTCTCTCTTTCTCACGCTATACTCAGTAAAATAACAAATATGAGTCTTGCAAGAAACAAACAGGGTACTGGAGTTCTAGCCTTCGTTTTACTGGTGGTCAGCTTTATGGTTACAGGCACAGTGTTGAACTTAATCTGCATCTTACAGAGATTTCTCATCTGTAAACTGAAGATCTTAGTATCTCCCTACCTATCTTATAGGGCTCTTGCAGAATATAACTCCTTTGTAAATAATGAGGTACTACATAAACATAGTATTATTTTATTAAAGTAACATTTAGGTAGGAAAAGATTTTTTAAAAGGTGGATAATATCATCCTCCTTACTTCTGAAGATTATAAACAAAACTTATAATCTACTTCCCTCATCATTACAATATTATAATCAAATGCACATAAATGGTGAAAATGTAGCTCTGTGGAAAAAAAAGCAGTAAGTTGTGATTTCATAGATCACACCAACTAAGTTACAGGTAAAGAATTTTTATTTATACAAAAACATGCAAATCAGAACTAAAAGTAAAATAATAAAACACATCTATCGGCTGGGCGCAGTGGCTCACGTCTGTAATCCCAGCACTCTGGGAGGCCAAGGCAGGTGGATCACCGGAGGTCAGGGGTTCGAGACCAGCCTGGCCAACATGGCGAAACCCCGTCTCTACTAAAAATACAAAATTAGCCGGGCGTGGAGGCATGTGCCTGTAATCCCAGCTACTCGGGAGGCTGAGGCAGGAGAATGGCTTGAACCCGGGAGATGGAGGTTGTGGCGAGCCAAGATCACACCATTGCACTCCAGCCTGGGCAACGAGAGTAAAACCCTGTCTCAAAAGAAAAAGAAAAAAAAACAACCCACATCTATCAAGATAAAAATAAATAAGATCTTTACGTATGTAAATTTAACCTCTTATTCCTTAGGACCAATTCCCTCCCCATTTGTAAGATCTTTTACTGAGATGATAAGCCACACTTTTTAATCCAGTAACAATTCCACTCCCAGACATCTATCTTAAGGAAAGAGAAAAGTAAACATTTACATACAAAATTCTCTACTAATATTATTTTTATCATGGTGAAAAACTGGAAGAAACTAAGATCCCAGAGGAAAATTTATTTTCAACAGTATATAAACTGTACAACAAAATAATTACATACAAAAATAGTTTTAAAGAATGTTTCATGATAAGAGGAAAACTCATTTAAAAATTTGACTAAAAGCCTGGAAAAACAGAAGGAAAAGATCACTTATAAAATTAAGATACATTTTGATGAATTTCCTTTATATTTTTCCACATTTGCACATTATATTCAATGAACATTTGCAACTTTTATAGTGAAATAAAACAACAAGAGTTATTTTAAGATGTGAAAGTGGAGTAGACTAGTTGAATAAATGCATTCATACATTCGGAACTTAATATGCAAAAATACATGGTCACAAGAAACAAAGTAATTTCAGATCTATTATTCTTATTTAATGAAGCTAATTAGAAAATGTAATTGGAGAAGCACTGCTACAAGACTGCTGCAAGCTCCTCAGGCAAATGGCTCAGTAAGGTTTGTTAATTACAGGCATCCCCAACTAACAACAGCTGACTTAAAATTTTTTGGCTTTATGATGGTGGGAATGCAATACACATTCAGTAGAAACCACACTTTACTACACTATCTAGTAAATTGTATCAGCTATTCAATACTTTATTATAAAATAGGCCTTGTGTTAGAAGATTTTGCCCAACTGTAGCCTAAGATAAGTGTTTTGAGCACATTTAAAGTAGGCTAGGCTAGGCTATAATGTTTGGTGGATTATGTGGGAAATGCATTTTCAACTTAGATGGGTTTACTGGGATGTAATCCCACTGTAGTAAGTCAGGGAGCATCTGTACTGCAAAGCCAAAGATAAAGAGAGAAACTGGAGGGACATAGGAAATACTGTTAATATATCCAAGAGCACATACAGAAACTGCTGATATGAATAGATAGCATATATATAGGTAAATATTTTAGGGAAAGGGGAAAATCGAAAAGATCACATAAAACCAAAAATTTAAAATAAGAAAACAATATTCTTACCTAATATTTAAGAATGTTAGAGCTTGTAGGTTTAAAATTGCCTCTGGAATATAACGAATACAATTTTGGTACAAGTTGAGATTTTCCAGAGAAACAAAGTGACATGCTTCTATAGGAATTTCTGAAAGGCGATTTCGCGACAGGTCTAAAAGAAAAATTAAATTAGGTTTAAAATCAGTCCTTGGAACTTATTTTATTGAAATCTTTTGATTTTCCACATAAACTAAAAAATAAAACTATTATTCTTTAAAAGTAAAACAGCTTCTAAGGCATATCTGCTTACAAATTATATCAAAGATCGTATCAATCAGTTCCAAATATCCTAAAACAAATAGATCCCTAAAATCCACCTTCCTAAAGGCACAGAAAATATGCTGAGGTTTTTGAAAAGCAAAACAAAAAACACTGTCCCTTTATTCACCAAAGATGATCAAGGTCAGGTCACAAAGACTCAGGAACCATCTTTGTTCCCAATGGCCAAAGATGAGGCAATCTAAGCTTTGATAAAGATGACTGCAGTAGACTGAAATTCATCACATATATTGAACTACATGAGTTTATGACACACACCCAAAAAAGATGACAGAGAACTAATACACTATCTTGTAAACTGGTGATACGGTTTGCCTGTGTCCCCATTCAAGTCTCAACGTGAATTGTATTCCCCAGAATTCCCCCACGCTGTGGGAGGGACCCAGTGGAGAGGTAATTCAATCATGGAGGCCGGTTTTTCCGTGTTATTCTCGTGATAGTGACTAAGTCTCACGAGATCTTACGGGTTTATCAGGGGTTTCCACTTTTGTTCCTGCCTCATTTTCTCCTGCCGCTGCCGTGTAAGTAAGTGCCTTTTGCCTCCCGCCATGATTCTGAGGCTTCCCAGCCATGTGGAACTTTTAAGTTCCATTAAACCTCCTTTTGTTCCCAGTTTCACGTCTGTCTTTATCAGCAGCATGAAAACGAACTAATGCAACTGAAGGAAAAATCAAACATTTGAGGAAATAAAGAGAAAAAAATCAAACATTTATCCTGCCTTCCCTATATAAAGGTATCACTGAGTAAACAATAGATGGATGGGAGCATCTCTGTATAAAAGTATTCTAGTTATGAATAAAAAAGAACGATAGAATATCACAATTTTAAAACCCCTATGAATTAATGGATCTAGAATTGAACATCAATGACTGTTATCTTTACAAAAGATAATCAGAAATTACATGCCTCAGGCCAGGCGCGGTGGCTCACGCCTGTAATCCCAGCACTTTGGGAGGCTGAGGCGGGTGGATCACTTGAGGTCAGGAGTTTGAGACCAGCCTGCCCAACATGGTGAAACCCCATCTCTACTAAAAATACAAAAGTTAGCCGGGCATGGTGGCACACACCTGTAATCCCAGCTACTCGGGAGGCTGAGGCAGGAGAATCGCTTGAACCTGGGAGGCAGAGGTTGCAGTGAGCAGAGATGGAGCCACTGTACTCCAGCCTGGGCAAGAGAGCGAGATTCCATCTCAAAAAAAAAAAAAAAAAAAAAAAAAAAAAAAAAAAAAATTATATGCCTCCCATTAGAAGAACGGAACATTACCTATGGTCTTGCCAAAGGAACAGAACCTGAGTCTGATTAAGCATCTGGATCACTTGCAAACTTTCAGAAAATGCAGAGGACAAAGGAATATGATGACAAACCACCCCTCTATCATTACCCATTTTGATTTAATTAATTACTGTGAGATTCATTTGCTTACCACTGTTTTCTCTTTTTGGGAATGACTACAGTCAACGATCATTTATTGTACATTTTGAAATAATTAAAAGAGTATAAATGGATTGTTTGTAACACAAAGCATCAATGCTTGGGGTAATGGATACTTCATTTACCCTGATGTGATTATTACACATTGTATGGCTCTATCAGAGTACCTCACAGACCCCATAAATATATGCAGCCACTACGTACTCAAAGAAATTTAAAAAACTATAAGATACCACTTCATACCCATTCAGATAACTATTATTAAAAAAGGAAAAAACAACAGGTGTTGTTAAGAATGTGGAGAAATTGGAACCTTTGCGCTTTGCTGGGTGGAAACAGCCACTGTGGAAAAGAATATGGCAGTTCCTCAAAAAATCAAACACGGAAGTATATTTATGATCCATACAATCCAACAATTCCACTTCTGGGAATAGAATGAAAAGAACTGGTTGGGTGTGGTGGCCTGCGCCTGTAATCCCAGCACTTTGACAGGCCGAGGTGGGTGGATCACTTGAGGTCAGGAGTTCGAGACCAGCCTGGCCAACATGGCGAAACCCCGTCTCCACAAAAAATACAAAAATTAGCCAGGCGTGGTGGCATGTGCCTGTAATCTCAGCTACTTGGGAGGCTGAGACAGGAGAATCACTTGAACCCAGGAGGCTGTTTGAATGTTTCTCAAAAAACTAAAAACAGAGCCACCATATGATCCAGCTTGGTTGCAGTGAGCCGAGATGGCGCCACTACACTCCAGCTTGGGCGACAGAGTGAGACTCCACCTAAAAAAAAAAAAAAAAAAAAAAAAAACTGAAAGCAGAGACTTGAACAGATATTTGTAGGCCAATATTTACATCAGCATTATTCACAACAGTCAAAAGATGGAAACAAACCAAATGTCTACCAATGGGTGAACAGATATTTCCATAAATGTGTTATATGCATACAATGGAATATTATTCTACATTCAAAAAGGAATAAAATTCTTTGACATGGTACAACATGAAGTTTGCAAACATTATGGAGTGAAATATGCCAGACATCAAAGGATAAATATGATTTCATTTATATGAAGTCCCTAGAACAGCCAAATTCATAAAAGACATAAAGCAGAATGATTACCAGGAAGTAATGAGGAGTTAGTGTTTAACGCATACAGTGTTGCAGTCTGGGATAATGAAAAAAGTTCTGGAAGTGGATTTAGTTGGTGATAGCTGCACAACAGTATGAAGGTACTTAATACCACTGAACAGATGCTTAAAAATGGATAAAATGGCATATTTTACCACAACAATTTAAAAAATCAAACATGTAGTACTCAAAGTAGAAAAGAAATGTAATCTGCCTCTTCTTAGTGACATGTACCTTAAAAATCTCTAAAATTATGGACTTTTCTAATAACCATATCTTATGTCTCAGCAATAAAATGAATAATACACAAATTACAGAAACAAAATTTCAAAGTATTCCTGAACTTCAAATCTCAAAAATTAGTCTCACAACTGTGTAACAGAGACTGGCAGTTAGTAACTTCTTTCCTTCTTAACCCCATTTCTCTCTGCCAGGGAGAAAAATGCTTCATATTTCATTCTATTTGGCTATGTAATTATGACATTAGGACTTATTTCTTTAAATCTCAGTAACTAAGCCAGGAAAACCAAGGTTCATTCCAGTCCAAACACAAATTAATGTTTTCAACAGTATGGCATTTATTAAGAAATGCTAGCAGTCAAAAGTCTTGTGTTCTTCTAATAACTCCTCCAGGCGGTCCCACGCAGTGACATCATCCTTACCCAATCAGCCCATTATGCAAAACCCACATGTACAGTACCATCATTTTCTGTGAGAACAGACACTACTATGAATGCGAAAATGGCCAGGGATGATGACAAATAATCTGTATAAGAGATTTTCAACACTGAGCAATGTAAAACTGTAAAGAATATTATAGGAATAATATTCTTTAACATATAAAGAAATGGTAAATGCAAACTATGAAAATTTCTGAAATACACAATCAGTATGAAATAAACTAAAAAGTAATTTTCAAAAAGTCCCTAAAGAATTATATAAAAGTAATAATTTAAAATATTATTTGATAGCTATGTAACATATCACAATGATACTGTTCATGGTGCGTCCCACAGACCAAAGTTTAAACACCAAGAACATAGACGGCAGCGCAGTCACTGAAGACCCCGTGATGAGTCATGAGAGTGGGTTACGCTTTTCAGACTTTCTGTTTACATCTGTCACATTTAAAAACACTCCTTGCTTAGGTATTTCCTTTTCGTTTTCAACCACCTTACCATTCCCATGAAAATTTTACTGAGATAATGCAATAAAAATCATTTTAGCTATTAATATTAATTATGTAACCCAGGGAGATCACAAAACATAGTTTTTCTAATGCTTTTCATTCAAAAGTCTTATTTTTTTTAACCTGACTTTAGGTTATCTTTTAAAAACTGTTAACTTTTATTTTTATCAAAATAGTATATTTATATAACTTTAAATGCCATTTTAGTGACTTCCGCTTCTGGGAAGATGAAACAAATGTACTTTTTCCTTTTTCTGTTTTTTTTCTCCACAATAATTTAAAAAATTAAATGTGTATACTCAAAGTAGAAATGTAATCTGCCTCTTGTTAGTGACATGTACCTTAAAAATCTCTAAAATTATGTAAAATTTTAATTTATAACTAAAAACCCGAGATAATATACATAAAACAGATAAAAGGTTGAGAGAAGATGGCTAGGAACCTCAGGACTCAAGGAACAATAGCAATGAATTCCCTGGGTTTTCTTTTTGCCTCATGCATCCCAGACTTGGAGCTGACCTCTCCAAGTTTAAAAATAAAATAGCCAGGCACGGTAGCTCATGCCTGTAATCCCAGCACTTCCAGAGGCAGAGGCTGGTGAATCACCTAAGGTCAGCAGTTCGAGACCAGCCTGGCCAACATGGTGAAACCCCATTTCTAAAATACAAAAATAAGCTGGGCATGGTCGTGAGCACCTGTAATCTCAGCTACTCAGGAGGCTGAGGCAGGAGAATCCTTTGAACCCAGGAGGCGGAGGCTGCAGTGAGCCAAGATCGTGCCACTGAACTCCAACCTGGGAGTGAAACTCCATCTCAAAAAATAAAAATAACAAAATAATAATAAAGCACCAGGAAAGGGTAGCTTAGCAAGACAGAAAACTTTTAGATAATAACTGCTCTATTCCACCCAAATATCTCAGAAAAAAACTGGAAAAAAACAGGCTTCCCATGCAACCTTTGAGTAGCCTCACCCCTACTCAAAGGTTACGTGGGGATCCTAAATTTCCATCCTTGCCAGACTGTAATGACTCTTATAATCCCCAAAATGCACAACTGAAAACATTTACAATACTAAGGACCAGGAAGATCTCAAACCAAATAAAAAACAATAAATGCCAACACTAAGATGACAGAGATGCTAGACCATCCTAAGAATGCTTCAGAGAGCAATTACAGACTCTCTTGTAACAAATGAAAACCAGAAAGCCTCAACAACAACAACAACAAAAAACAGAAGGTCTCAAGAAAGAAGATATGAAGGGGAAACAAACAAACACACAGAAAAAGCTCAATGGATGGGTTCAACAGCAGAGCGGAGGGCAGAGAGGAAAGAATCAGTGAGCTGCAAGACAGAACAGAAATTACCCAGCCTGAACAACAGAGAGAAAACAGATTGGGGGAAAAAAAAAAAAAGACTGAACAGAGCAAGGACTTATGGGACTGTAACAATAATCTAACACTCATGTCATCAGAATCCTGGCAAAAGAGAAGGAGCTCAGGGCTGAATACTTCAGCATTTCTAAGGGCTGAAAAATGAACTGAAGTGAAAGCTTCCTAAGTTTGGCAAGAGTCATGAACCTGTAGATTCAAGAAGCTGAGCAAACCCCAAAGAGGATAAACCCAAAGACATCCACAAGACACACTATAGCCAAACTTCTGAAAACGGAAGACAGAGAAAAAAAGTCCTTTTTTTTTTTTTAGACAGGGTCTCACTCTGTTACCCCAGCTGGAGTGCAGTGGCACAATCATGGCTCACTGCAACCTCTACCTCTTGGGCTCGAGAGATCCTCCCACCCCAGTCTCCTGAGGAGCTGGGACTACAGGCACACACCACCACTCCTGACTAATTTTTGTATTTTTGGTAGAGAAGACGTCTCACTATGTTGTCCAGGCTGGTCCTGAACTCCTGACCTCAAGTGATCCTCCTGCCATGGCCTCCCAAACTGCTGGGATAACAGGCATGAGCCACCATGCCTGGCCAAGAAAAAAAAAATATTGAAAGCAGTAAGAGAGAGACAATTGAAATGACAGTAGATTTCATATCAGAAACCATGGAAGCCAGAAAGAAGTGGCAGAACATCATCCTTTTTTTTTCTGAGACAGTCTCACTGTCACCCAGGTTGGAGTGCAGTGGCACAATCACAGCTCACTGCAGCTCTGATCTCCTGGGCTCAAGTGATCCTCCCACCTCAGCCTTCCAGGTAGCTGAGACTACAGGCATGTGCCACCATGCCCAGCTAATTTTTGGAGAGATGGGGTTTCGCCACATTGCCCAGGCTGGTCTTGAAACTCCTGGGCTCAAGTGATCTGCTCATCTCGGCCTCCCAAAGTGTTTCAATTACAGGCATGAGCCACTGCGCCTGGCCCAACATCTTCCAATCACTAAAAGAAAGACTGTTCACCCAGAATTGTATATATATCCAGCAAAATGTCCTTCAGGAATCAAGAGGAGATCAACACATTCTCAGATGAATGAAAACTGAGAGAGTCTGTAGCAGCAGATGTAATCTAAAAGAATGAGTAATGGAAGTTCTCTAAATAGAAAGTAAGTGGTGAAAGAAAGGAATCTTAAAACACCAAGAAAGGACACAGCGTATGAGTTTGCTAGAGCTGCCACAATAAAATACCACACAGTGGGCAGCTGAAACGATACAAATGTATTTTCTCAAATTCTGGAGGCTAGAAGTCTGAGATGAAGGTGTTAGCAGGGTTGCTTTCTTCTGAGGTCTCTCTCACTGGCTTGCAGATGCTGTCTTCTCTCTGAGTCTTCATATCATCTTTCCTCTTTGTCTTTGTCCTAATCTCCTCTCACAGGGACATCACTTGTATTGACTTACAGCCCAGCCAAATGATGCCATCTGAACTTAATTACCTCTTTAAAAGTACTACCTCCAAACACAATCGCAGATACTGAGAGTTAGGACTTCAATGTATGAATTTGTGGGTGACGGACAAAATTCAGTACATAACACTAAGCAAAAATATGGGTAAATATAAAAGACTTTCCTTCTCTTGAGTTTTCCAAATTATATTGGAAGCAAAAATTATAAGACTGTTTGATGTGATTCTAAATATTTATAGAGAAAATATTTAAGACAACTATAACAGGGAAAGAAAAGGGACATGAAGGGGGTAAGGTTTCTATACGTCACTCAAACTCATAAAATAAGGATACCAATAGACTGACAAGTTGGACTTCTCTCATGTAATACCTAGGGCAGCAACAAAGAGAGCTACACAAAGAGATACACTCAAAAACACTACAGAGAAATAAAAATGGAATTCTAAAAAATGTTCACGAACCCCACAGGAAGGCAAGAAAAAGAACACAGAAAGGAAAACAAAGGAAACAACAAATAAAATGGCAGACTTAGGCCCTAACACATCAACAATGATATGAAATACAAATTATCTAAAAGACAGATCAAATGACCAAAATACAGAGATTAGCAAAGTGGATTTAAAAACATGATGCGGCCGGGCATGGTGGCTCACACCTGTAATCTCAGCACTTTGGGAGGCCAAGGCGGGCGGATCACAGGGTCAGGAGATCGAGACTATCCTGGCTAACCCGGTGAAACCCCGTCTCTACTAAAAAGAAATACAAAAAAATGAGCTGGGCGTGGTGGCGGGCGCCTGTACTCCCAGCTACTTGGGAGGCTGAGGCAGGAGAATGGTGTGAACCCGAGAGGCGGAGCTGGCAGTGACCCGAGATCGCGCCACTGCACTCCAGCCTGGGCGACAGAACGAGACTCCGTCTCAAAAAAAAAAAAAAAATGCAACTCTATGTTATTTACAAGAAACTCACTTCAAGTAGAAGGATATAGGCTGAAAGTAAAAATTAGCACCCAAACAGGAGAGGTCTAATTCCTCATTAACTCCCAATACCTGCTCCCCTAAAGCAATCACTTTTAACTCTTGTATGTGTGTATGCATGTTTGTTTGTTTTTTTTTTTTGACACAGGGTCTCGCCCTGTCGCCCAGGCTAGGGTGCAGTGGTGCAATCACAGCTCACTGAAACCTGGAACTCCTGGGCTCAAGTGATTCTCTGACCTGAGCCTCCTGAGTAGCTGGGACCACAGGAATGCGGAACCATGTCAGGCTAATTTTTCTTTTAAATCTTTTGTAAAAATGGGGTCTCAGGAGCCGGATGCAGTGGCTCACACCTGTAATCCCAGCACTTTGGGAGGCTGAGGCGGGTGGATCACTTGAGGTCAGGAGTTCAAGGGCAGCCTGGACAACATGGTGAAACTCCACACCAAACTAATTTTGTATTTTTAGTAGAGACAGGGTTTCACCATGTTAGCCAGGGTGGTCTTGAACTCCTGACCTCAGGTGATCCACCTGCCTCAGTCTCCCAAAGTGCTGGGATTACAGGAGTGAGCCACCATGTCCGGCATTCCTATGCCCTTTTCTTAGAGACCCTTATTATATTTCATGTCTGCAGTACCTTCTTTTCTGACTTTTAGGATATTGATTCCAGATTTTTGGAAGTTTTTCTTTTGTCAGCACTGTCTGTTTTCTCTGGGTTCCTTTTGTTATGTTCTTCTCTTTGATGTCAGAAATGTTCTTCAAGGCCAGGCACTCATGCCTGTAATCCTAGCACTTTGAGAGGCTGAGGTGAGAGGATCATTTGAGCTCAGGAGTTTGAGACCAGCCTGGGCAACACAGTAAGATCCCTGTCTCTACTAAAATTAGAAAAAAGAAAAAAGAGAAATGTTCTTCAACTATCTAGTAGTATTTAGTTTTCTTTTCATATTTAAAAACATAGGCCAGGCGCAGTGACTCACACCTGTAATCCCAGCACTTTGGGAGGCCGAGGCAGGTGGATCACCAGAGGTCGGGAGTTCATGACCAGCCTGACCAATATGGAGAAACCCCGTCTCTACTAAAAATACAAAATTAGCCGGGTGTGGTGGCACATGCCTGTAATCCCAGCTACTCGGGAGGCTGAGACAGGAGAATCACTTGAACCCGGGAGGCAGACGTCGCAGTGAGCCAAGATCGCACCATTACACTCCAGCCTGGGCAACAAGAGTGAAATTCCGTCTCAAAAAAACAGAAACAAAAACAAAAAAAACCCATAACATTGAAATTCTGGGTGGAAACTCTGTATGTACACTTCCCTGTAAGGTACAGTGTAGGGACCTGGCTGTTTCATTTGGGTTCTGTAAGTACCGATACCTTAAAATCTTTTCTCTTTTCCCCTAGATTTTCTCCAAAAACTCCAATAATCAGAGGAGTATATCAGCCAAGCAGGGAGATGCCTAGAGATCTTACCATTCTGCATGTCGGCTGTCATTAGGTTTTCAATTTGGAGGCATGTCCCCCTCTAAAAACTCCAATAATCAGAGGAGTATATCAGCCAAGCAGGGAGATGCCTAGAGATCTTACCATTCTGCATGTCGGCTGTCATTAGGTTTTCAGTTTGGAGGCGTGTCCCCCTCTAAAAACTCCAATAATCAGAGGAGTATATCAGCCAAGCAGGGAGATGCCTAGAGATCTTACCATTCTGCATGTCGGCTGTCATTAGGTTTTCAGTTTGGAGGCGTGTCCCCCTCTTTAGCAAGCCTACACCCAAATCCAGACCCAGTTTTAGTCCCAGCCCTCTGAAGAAAAAGCCTCCTTGATTTTTCTGTTGCACGTTCTTCTCCTTCAAAAATATGATAGAGGTAAGACCCTTAAGAAAAAAGTGTCTTACTGGAAAAGTTATCAAGGATAGTCCAACATGTCATGTTTTATCAGTTTGCCCCTCAGGAAAAGCAATCACATATTCTGAATGACTTGAAAAAATGGCTTTCTTGGCCAGGCGCGGTGGCTCACGCCTGTAATCCCAGCACTTTGGGAGGCCAAGGCGGGTAGATCACTGAGGTCGGGAGTTCGAGACCAGCCTGACCAACACGGTGAAACCCCAGCTCTACCAAAAATACAAAATTAGCCAGGTGTGGTGGCACGCACCTGTAATCTCAGCTACTCAGGAGGCTGAGGCAGGAGAATTGCTTGAATCCAGGAGGTGGAGGTTGCAGTGAGCCAAGATCACACCACTGCACTCCAGCCTAGGCGACAGAGTGAGACTCTGTCTCAAAAAAATAAAAAAGAAAAAAAAAAAGGAGTGGATAATCGAGGTACAGATAGATTCTATTGGAAATGTCTTTAAGTTCTATTTGTCATTCTTACATTAGAAAATAAGGAAGTGTTTACTAACTGCAAGTATTATGATAAAACAGCAAAATTAACAAACCTGTGATGGTCACTGTTGATTGGACCACGATAATGTCTGTAGTTCTCCTCGTGTTACTAAACATTGTCTTCACAAGCAAGATAAGCAGCTGAGCAAGTAACAGTCTTTTAAAAGTAGGTACTAGAAACAAATACACCAATGAGTAGTAGAGCCCTGTTTCTGGTATAACAATTTTGGGTGGAAAGCCCCAGTCCTCAGGATAGGAGTGAGGACAAGATAATTGAGCTCTGGATACACGATGGGATTTCTGCACTCTGGATCCTTACCATACCTACTGGGATGACATACGAAGGTTTTTTTATTTTCCAGTATAACTTAAGGAGGGGTGCAGCTGAGGCAAGGCACAGTCTAAAAGGACTTGCTAACATCAAACTCTAACCATGTACATATCCATGATATGTTCAGCACATCATATCCTAGGAACAAGGCAACTGGTGTCATAACTTTCTTCTTTGCTTATTGCCACCCACAAAGTGGGTCTTTTTTTTTTTCTTTTTTTGAGACAGGGTCTTACGCTGTCGCCCACTGCAGTGGCACAATCTTGGCTCATTGCAACCTCCACCTCTGGGGTTTGAGCAATTCTCCCACCTCAGCCTCCCTAGTACCTAGAACTAACTAGAGGTGCACGCCACCACGCCTGGCTAATTTTTGTATTTTTTGGTAGAGATGGGGTTTCACCATGTTGGTCAGGCTGGTCTCGAACTCCTGACCTCAAGTGATCCACCTGCCTCAGCCTCCCAAAGTGCTGGGATTACAGGCGTGAGCCACCACACCCGGTCCCTTTTCATTTTTTAATAGACTGATGTTGAAAGTATTCAATTTGGTCGCCCCATATCATATGGGTTAAATTAACTAAGGCCAATTATTTACTTACTGAGACCCTTTGGAAAAAGAATTACCTGGTTAACGTTACAGCAGTGCTTCTTAAACTGAAATGCAAATGCAGATTCTTATTCCGAGATGAGGCCTGCAATTCTGCATTTCTCACAAGGTCCTGCGAACCTTCTATGGCATGCCATAGAACCAGATGTGAAAAACCACTATCCTCCAAAATAACTTTTAGAGTAAAGGAGCAAATTCTTTTTTTTTTTTTAAACAGTCTCACTCTGTGGCCTAAGCTAGAGTGCAGTGGTGCAATCTCAGCTCACTGCAACCTCCACCTCCCAGGTTCAAGTGATTCTCATGCCTCAGCCTCCCAAGTAGCTGGGATTACAGGCGCAAATCACCACACCTGGCTAAAGTAGCAAATTCTAAGGAAATGTTTTTCAGGTGGTTCTTAACTACCTGCACCTAGTACCATCAGGGTGCTTGTTAAAAATGTAGTTTAATGGACTCCACCCCGGATCTCCTGAATCTCTCTAGTAATCTCACCCAGGGATGCGTATTTTTTAAAAAGAGCCCCAGGTGATTCTATGCACAACACTAAAGCCTGAGAATCAATATGCTACAGCTTGTCACTTGATAATAGATGGCCAGAAGCCACAAATTTTATAGGCTAAAAGAAGCATGACCACATTATCTGACTAAGATTTTCCTTACACAAGTGAGACATATAACTACCAAAGTTGAAAACACTGGATAAACAGAGAAAGCCTCCTTCACTACATATAAGGTTTAACATTTTTATTCCTTTTATTATAATCAATGAATCCACTGTGAAAGTTCCCAAATACCTAGAAGTTGACATTTATTTTGAGAAAACAACTCTTAGCACATGTAACATCATTTCTCTTATCCTCTATGACACCAATTTTAAAAGTTCTGAATGCTTGACTTTTTCACACCAAAGAGAAGCATACTCACTAGTATTATCCTTGAGAATGTTCTGATTGAAACTCCCAGGGTCCCCACTGAAACCAGTTACTTTATACAGCAGGCAGGTGTCACTGTTCCAAAGCTATGAAAGTGAACAGGCTCTCAATCACTTCTTTTCGCTTTATCATTCACCCATCCATTCATTCAACAAATACTCAAAAGTTATACGCCAACAAACTGGATAACTCAGAAGAAACGCATAAATTCCTAGGAACATAGAACCTCCCGAGATTGAATCATGAAGAAACAGAAAATCTGAACAGATTAATGAGTAAGGATTGAATCAGTAAGTCTCTCACCAAAGAAAAGCCATGGTTTCACTGCTGAATTCTACCAAACATATGAAGAACTAATAACAATCCTTCTCGAACTCTTAAAAAAACTAAAGAGAAGGGAATACTTCCAAACGCATTTTACGAGGCCAGCATTACCCTGATACCAAAGCTGGACACAAAAAATAAAATTACAAGCCACTATCACTGATGAACATACATGGAAAAATCTTCAACAAAATATAACACAGCAAGAAGGCCCTCACTAGATGGCAGCACCTAGATCTTGGTCTTTCCAACCTCCAAAATTGTGAGCCAACAAATTTCTACTCATAAATTAATCAGTCTGTGTGTGGTATGCTGTTATAGCAGCACAAAATGGACAAAGACACCACTCTAATTCCTGGAACTGTGAATACAGGATCTCATACCCTGAGTATCTTCCTTATGTGGAAGAGGGGATTTTGCTGATGTAATGAAGTCTACTAATCAGTTGACTTTAGAATTAATCAAAAGAGGCACAATCTTGGTAAACCCAGTCTCATCACATCAACCCTCTGGATAGCAGCAGCAGAGGAAGTCTGAGAAACTGGAAGCACGAGAAGTGTTTGATGACACACCAATGCTGGCTTGAGGATGGAGGGGGCCATGTTGTAAGAATACAAGTGGCATCCAGGACCTGAGAGTGGCCTGAGGCTGACAACCAGAAAGGAAATAAGAACCTCAGTTTTATAACCACAAAGACTGAATTCTGCCAAAACTCGAATGAACTTGTAAGCAAACTGTTCCCCAAAGCCTCCAGATAAAAGCCCATCCTGACAACACGTTAATTTCAGTCTTGTGAAACCTTGAGTTCAGCTGAGTCCAGACTCCTAACCTATAGAACTATAGTAAATGGATGCTATTTTAAGCTGCTAAATTTGTAATAATTTGCTATTTAGCAACAGAAAACTAATATACCTCCTTCAAGAAGCTGCCAATCTAGTAGAAGAAAAGATGATATTGTTTACTGTGACAATAAAAAAATGTGCACAGGGTATTAAGAAAACAATAAGTGCCTAACTGGGGAGGAGGGATGGTAGAGAGAAAGGAAGAGAATTTAAAAAGAGATGGCCAAAAAGAAGAGGTGCCATGAGAAATACATGAGTTAACAATGAAGAAGTTAGCCTCAACAAAAGTCGAACATAAATGAAGAAAAGTGAATAAATCATAAACATACAATTCAATTTTTTAAAAGTATAACATGAACAACCATATAATCACCACCAAGGTCATGAAACAGAGTATTTCCAATACTTCAGAAATATATCCCTGACTCCCAACCCAAAGCTCCCTTTCCTAATCACAGCTTTTTCCTTCTCCCCTAGAGGTAACCATTATCCTGATTTTTATGGCAATTATTTCCTTTTCTTTGTACTTTTAGCACTTATATTTTTTGTTTTTGAACTTTACTAAATATATTTGCACCGTATATATTATGCTTCACACTTCACTTTCTCGACATTATGTTTCTAAGGTTCATTCCTGCAACTGCATATAGTTATAGCTCATCCATTTTCTTGTTTTTTTTTTTGAGATGGAGTCTCACTCTGTTGCCCAGGCTGGAGTGCTGTGGTGTGATCTCAGCTCACTGCAACCTCTGCCTCCCAAGTTCAAGCGATTCTCCTGCCTCAGCCTCCTGAGTAGCTAAAATTACAGGCGCCCGCCACCACACCCGGCTAATTTTTTGTATTTTTAGTAGAGACGGGGTTTCACCATGTTGGTCAGGCTGGTCTCGAACTCCTGACCTTGTGATCCACCCACCTTAAACTCCCAAAGTGCTGGGATTATAGGTGTGAGCCACCGCACTTGGCCAGCTCATTTTCACACAATTGATTTATCCATTCTACTGGTGATCATCACTTAAGTTGTTTCTATTTTGTCAAATATGAATAATGCTATGGACAGTCTTATCATACTATATATCCTGGTATACATACACACAACTTTCTCTGAGAGATTTATCTCAAGAGTGGAATTTCTGAGTCACAGAATATGTGTATTTTAAACCTTCCTGGATCGTTCCAGAGCATTTTCAAAGTTGAGGCACCAATTCACACTCCCACAAGCTCCCACAGCATCGTATGAGTGTCTCCACTGCTCCACGTTCTTTCCAGTACTTGGAATCATCAACTTGTAAAGTAGTACCCACTGTGGTTTTATTTTTCAATCTCTTGATTACTGATGAGGTTCAGCACCTTTTCAAACATTTATTGGCCACTTGGAATTCCTCTTTAGTAAAGTACTAGTTCAAGTGTTTTCTCAGTTTTCTCCTGGGTTGTCTTTTTCTTACTTGTGTATAGACATTCTTAAATATTCTGGATCTAATCTGTTGCATTTATTGGAAATCTTAAGAAGACTGTGGCTTACCTTCCCACTCTCTATGATATGAAAATCATTTTTAAAAAACTGTGGGGTTTTTTTTTTTGAGACAGTCTCACTCTGTCGCCTAGGCTGGAGTGGAGTATAGTGGTGCGATCAGCGTGATCTTGGCTCATTGCAACCTCCACCACCGGGGTTCAAGCAATTCTCCTGCCTCAGCCTCCCGAGTAGCTGGGATTACAAACACCTGCCAGCACGCCTGGCTAATTTTTTTTTTTTTTGTAGTTTTAGTAGAGACAGGGTTTCACCATCATGGCCAGGCTCGTCTTGAACTCCTGACCTCATGATCCACCTGCCTCGGCCTCCCAAAGTGCTGGGATTACAGGCATGAGCCACTGCACCCGGCCTGTTCTTTTGTTTTTTGTTTTTGTTTTGAGAGCGAGTCTCACTCTGCTGCCCAGGCTGGAGTGCAGTGACGTGATCTCGGCTCACTGCAACTTCTGCCTCCCGGGATAAGCAATTCCCCTGCCTCAGCCTCCCGAGTAGCTGAAGCTGGGATTACAGGCGCGTGCCACCACAGCCAGCTAATTTTTTGTATTTTTAGTAGAGACGGGG
Organism: Homo sapiens; assembly: GCF_000001405.40. Classification (NCBI taxonomy): domain Eukaryota; kingdom Metazoa; phylum Chordata; class Mammalia; order Primates; family Hominidae; genus Homo; species Homo sapiens. The sequence goes on along the minus strand of NC_000003.12, from coordinate 197,799,691 downwards.
TTTCGCCATGTTGGTCAGGTTGGTCTCAAACTCCTGATCTCAGGTGATCCACCCATCTTGACCTCACAAAGTGCTGGGATTACAGGCATGAGCCACCGCGCCTAGCCAAAAACCTGTTTTTAATGGGAAAATCTATTACCCAGTTTTTAAATAAGAAATCAGTTAAACCAGTTTAAATCCAAGGTTTAAGACTTCCTTCAAACAATAAAAATTTAGAAATTGTGAAGAGCAAAGAAGAAAGTTAAAAGTGAATAAGGAAATGCTTTACATTTTTACTACTAGTTTGATTCTAAAATTAGTCACACTGCATTTGATATTGCTGGCTGCTTCAGGAATTCAAAATAATATTCCTTTGTGTGAATTACCACATTGACCATACATTTTTCCCAAGCGCACCTGGGATATTTTACAGAGGAACTGGAAAGAACAAGAAACATGTATATAACCACACCACTTAAAGTCATACTTGATGTTCTAACATGAAGTAACGTTAACCATCCAGCTCCCAAATATAGCCACTGTAAAAGGAACTGGAACCTGGGAACTCCTCAGCCCCAGCACTGCTGTCACTCCCGTACTCTCAAAACTGGTTCAGTGGTCCTCTATGGTTCATCTTCTCACCTCCCCTAAAGAAACCATCCTACTACCTCCCCTTCCCTTCTAAGACCAATCTCAGGGGAGTCTAACGTACTGTCTAACCTAACTTCCTGCAGTGATGAGAGAGTTCTATTATCTGTGCTGTCCAGTATGACAGAGAGGAGGTTGGTCCAAGGTGCTGTCCAAAATGACATATGTGGCTACTGAGCACTTGAAATGTGGCTAGTGCAAATGAAGAACCAAGTTTTAAATTTCTATTTTAATAACCACTTACGGCTAGTTGCTACCATACTACACAGTACAGTTCTAGAAAAATTCATAGTGCATATACTGTGACTGTTACAAAATAGACATAAACAAGGATCCAAGAAAAACACAATCTCAAATTAAGACCTGGTACTCTAGTCCGTATTTCCAAGACTAATGAAACCATAATTTTGTGAGTTACAGACTGCCTCCTTGGAAAATTAAATGGCATTTTAGCAGTCCTCATTCTTCTTACCTAGAAAGTATTCATTTCTTGAAAATTTTAATTCTCATAGCTCCAATGACACTGCATTACTTTGGCTCACCCGCCACATGTCAATGTTTCCTTTTTCTGTGTGTGATTGTAGTCCACCTGCCCACAGCATCCTGCTCTCACCTGTAGGCTTTACACCAATGGTGAGTCTTTGCTTTCTCATTTTCTGTATTTCATTCAAGAGTTTTCTTCAAGCTTCAGCTATGACTCTTATTTGCCTTGTGTAAAACAGTATCACCTCACTATACAACGTTAAGAATATCATTTAATCTGAGATTGCTTCTCTCTCATTTATTTATTTATTTATTTTTTTTGAGACAGGGTCTCACTCTGTTGCCCATACTGGAGAGCAGTGGTGCGACCTCCGCTCACTGCACCCTCAATCTCCCAGACTCAAGCGATTCTCCCACCTCAGCTTCCCAAGCAGCTGGGACTACAGATGCATTCCACCACAACTGTCTAATTTTTGTATTTTTTTAAGAGACGAGGTTTGCGATGTTGCCCAGGCTGGTCTCCATCTCCTGGGCTCAAGTGATCCACTCGCCTCAGCCTCCTAAAGTGTTAAAGTGCTAGGGTTACAGGCGTGAGCCACTGCACCCAGCTTCAGATTGCTTCTCATTTGTGAAATAACTTAGAAGGTCACTATGGTTCCTTCTGGTTTTAGGATTTTTCTGGTTTTGTTTTTTTTTTTGTTTTTTTTGTTTTTTTTTTTTTTGAGATGGAGTCTCGCTCTGTTGCCAGTGCTGGGGTGCAGAGGCGCCATCTCAGCTCACTGCAACCTCCACCTCCCCGGCACAAGCGATTCCCCTGCCTGTCTCCTGAGTAGCTGGGATTATAGGCGCCTGCCAATGGCACCCAGCTATTTTTTGTATTTTTAGTAGAGACGGGGTTTCACCGTGTTGGGCAGACTGGTCTCAAACTCCTCACCTCAGGTGATCCACCTGCCTCGGCCTCCCAAAGTGCTGGGATTACAGGCGTGAGCCACTGCGCCCGGCCTAGTTTTAGGATTCTATGAATTCTAGTACAGGCCTAGTTACTGAATCTTTTTTCTGTTTCTGTTTTTTCCCAGACTGATTCCTCTTTCCACCTTTTAAAATGCTGGTATCTCCCTGAGTTGACAGTGCCTACCTTTTCCATTCTCTACGTCCTTCCTCCAAGAATCTTATAAACTCTCACTATGACTCTCTTGAATTTATTCCATAGCCTTAATTAACTTCACTCTACATCTTTTTTTTTTTTTTTTTTTTGAGATGGAGTTTTGCTCGTTGCCCAGTCTGGAGTGCAATGGCGTGATCTCAGCTCACTGCAACCTCCACTTCCAGGGTTCAAGAAATTCTCCTGCCTCAGCCTCCCAAGTAGCTGCGATTACAGCCATGCACCACCACGCCCAGCTAATTTTTTATATTTTTAATAGAGATGGGGTTTCACCATGTTGGCCAGGCTGGTCTTGAACTCCTGACATCGGGTGATCTGCCCGCCTCGGCCCCCCAAAGTGCTGCGATTACAGGCGTGTGCTACCATGCCCAGCAAATTTTTTTGTATTTTTAGTAGAGACAGGGTTTCACCATGTTGGCCAGGCTGGTCTTGAACTCCTGATCTCGTGATCCACCCACCTCAGCCTCCTAAAGTGTCACTCTACATTCTAAAGCTCTAGTTTCTATTTGTTTCTATTTGTCCCACATGATTCACTAGATGTGCTACCAACCCTTCAAAGATATTGGGCAAACCAAAGAAATTACAGGAAACCAACTTGTCGGTATAATTATTGATCAATAACACAAATTTTAGGGTCAAATGTATCAGAAATTGAATCCTAGTTTTGTCACTTATTAGCTGGGAGACCTTGATCAAATTATTTAATCTCCTGAGCCTCAATTTTCTCACACGTAAAATGGGGTCAAAAATAGTATTTACAACTTACTATGGTTGTTTTTGTTCATGTTATATATAGACACACACAGCTTAGCACAATACCTGGAATATGTTAAGACCTCAATAAATGTTAGCTACTATTATAAGCAATAGCATTACCATCTTTCTAGTCTTACAGGTTTAACAGTGATCTTGGACTCCTATCCTTTTTTAAATAAATTCAATCAGCATTTGTACATTTTCATTGTCCAGTATGATCTCAGTGTACCAGGATTTCATTCCCTCACAGCTTTCTGTTATGCAGCTACCCAACCAGATTACTAGATTTAAAAATATTCGTAAGGCCTCATTTTTGTTTCCTCTACATTACCCAGCATAATGCCTAAAACATAGTAGTTGTGCTATTATTGCACAATTCAAACAATCCTTCCACCCGTCTATCTCCCCATTAGATCCCTTGAGTTCTGTCAGGGCAGGGAGTGTCTTGGTCCTCTTCATACACCAATAACTGCCGAAGTCCTTTAGTCAATAAATGTCTGTTGAATGAATGCTGACCTCTAAAGCTATTGGCTATCTAGCTTCCTCATATACGAAAGGCAGCTCTTATATTCTCTAATCCAATAATTTATTTTGACCAAATTTGTCTCACCACAATATCATCACGGGTAGTTTCACTGTATTAGTCAGGACCTTTTTATCATCAAAAAATTCTGGCCGGGTGCGGTGGGTCACACCTGTAATCCCAGCACTTTGAGAAGCCAAGGCGGGCGGATCACAAGGTCAGGAGATTGAGACCAGCCTGGCCAATATGGTGAAACCCCATCTCTACTAAATATATAAAAATTAGCCAGGCGTGGTGGTGGGCGCCTGTAGTCCCAGCTACTCAGGAGGCTGAGGCAGGAAAATCACTTGAACCCAGGAGAAAGAAGTTGCAGTGAGCCGAGATCATGCCACTGCACTCCAGCCTGGGTGACAGAGCGAGACTCCATCTCAAAAAAAAAAAAAAAAAAAAAAAACAACAACTTTTTTACTCACCTTAAGCAGAAAGAAGAATTTATTAGCTCACATAATTTGAAAGTACAGAGATAGCACTGACTTTAGGCATGGCGGCTGACCCAAAGGTACAAACACTGCCATCAGAACTTCCATCTTTTGGCTCTGCTTCCCACTTATTGGTAACTTCCAGGCTAACATCCTATTGTCTCAGCAACCCCAGGGCTCAAAGCATGCCTCTTTCTCAATAGTTCAACAAAAAATTCAGTTACTCATGTGTGCTGATTGCAAAATGGGCCCACCTCTGAACAATCACTATGGCCAGAGCAATGGACTATATACTGACTGACCATTAGCTAGGCCTGAGTCACTGGCATACCCTATGCCAGGGTGGGGTTCATATAACTGAGAGGGGTGGTTCCCTAGGAAAATTGGAGTACTATTACCAGAAGGGACTGAATAATGGACTGGCAAAATTAACTGATGTCCCTTATACTCTTAACATTTTTTGCGTGCTGTCCACCACTGCCTAAAATAGCTTTCCTTCTTGTTTCTGCTTGCCCAAATCCAAGTTATATCCTTTCTGCTTCAAGAAGTCTTCTGTGATGTCTTCTAAGACTTTCCTTGTCCACTGGATCAAGTCACCCATTCCCAAATAAATATTCCCCTTTTCCAAAAGATTAATATTTTTTTTTCTTTTTTTTTTAAGACAGCACTTACTCTGTCACCCAGGCTGGAGTGCAGTGGCACAATCTCAGCTCACTGCAACCTCCGCCTCCTGGGTTCAAGCGAGTCTCGTGCCTCACCCTCTCAAGTAGTTGGGATTACAGGCACCCGCCATTACACCTGGCTAATTTTTGTATTTTTAGTTGAGACCGGGTTTCACCATGTTAGCCAAGCTGGTCTGGAACTTCCGATCTCAGGTGATCTGCCCGCCCTGGCCTCCCAAAGTGCTGGGATTATAGGCGAGAGCCACCAGGCCCAGCCAGATTAACCTTTCAAAATAAACAGCACAGAAAGTCCCAAGAAAACGTTCCCAATAAGTTCAAAATCATGTCTAATTATAAATATGGGCAATATATGCTGTTCCCTAGGATACGAATTTGAAGGACAACAGCTCTACCATGTACATGCTACACATTATGAAAAAACAGTATGCAAGGCAACTTTTATATATTAGCATTCAACTAATTTTACTTGGCTTTAAATTTTCTATAAGGTCTAAGCATACCTAATAACTACCATAAGTTGGTTCCAAATTAATCAAAGTACCTGCCATAAAAACAGACTATGGCTTTTGGAGTCACCTCAAACTAGACTAAACTCCTGGCTAATACCGTCTCCTCTGTCCTTTAGCCACAGATCTTTGAGCAAATTAGTGAACATCTCTAAATGCTGGTTTCCACCATCTGTAAAAACAGGAACAGCAACACCTATTTCTATATGAAGAGGTTGCATGGTACAGTGGAAAGAACAGAGTTAGATGAACCTGGGCCAAAATCCTACCACTGATACTACATAGTGGTGATAGCTATAACCTGGGCCAAAATCCTACCAGTGATACTATATAGTGGTGATAGCTATAACCTGGGCCAAAATCCTACCAGTGATACTATATAGTGGTGATAGCCATATGACTTTCTCTAGGTGATCCCTCACATGTAAAGTGGGGATAGTATTTAATCCACAAATTATTGTGTGCATTTAACAAGGCAGTATATTTCAAAATATCTAACACGGTGAATTACAAATAGTGAACACTCAATAAATGATGTCATTGGCATTAAATTATCTGTTTAAAACAGAGACTGGGTAACGAGCAAGGTCTGCCAAAGATTTTTTTTTATATTTCATAAGTGATATTACTACATGTTAGAAATGAATCTAGTCTAATAGCTTATAAAATACCTTGTAATCTTTTTATTTTCTTTTTACACGTTTTGACCAGATGAAAAATCAACCAACAAAAAATGTGGTTTCTATACAAAACTATTAAAGTGTAGGCAACACCATACTTAAAAACTCAGAGCACAGTAAGGAAAAACCTCTTTGGTATTACTTATTATTCTTCATAAATGCACTTGGATTTTCTTAGTCAATAAAATATTTAAGGACTCAACACGGTGCTCCTAGACCTACTGAAAAGCAGGTGAGAAAATGAGCTAGACAGACTCCTGTAATCAACTTGTTCTTTAGCTTCAGGCTTGATGTAGTAACAATGAAATGACTCACACCAATATGAAATCACTATACCATATAGCCATCTCCTAAACAGAAGCAGGAAATCTGAGGTGTGAATGATAATTTTACATGCCGTCTACCAGAACACACACAAAAGGAAAGTGGCTGCTCATATTTACCTTAGCAAGAAACTTTAAATCACTAAAAAATATTCAGTTCAACTGTTTCCAAAAAGAGATTAAATAAGCAGGCATTTAATTTCTTCTATTTTAAACTACAGCAAAAGTTTCTTTGGAAAGAATCGCTTCTTTAGTTTAACAGTTCTGTTTATTTTTCCAAAATGAGTGAATCATATGTAATACTTATAAATTTTTAATGACTGCAAAGCATAGAAAATGTGCTCAATCTAAGATTTTAAAATAAAATAAGACACCAAGTACTGCCAGCCGCAGTGGCTCACGCCTGTAATCTCAACCTTTTGTAAGGCCGAGGTCGGCGGATAGCTTGAGCCCAGGAGTTGGAGACCAGCCTGGGCAACATAGCAAAACCCCGTCTCTACAAAAAAATACAAAATATTGGCCGGACGCGGTGGCTCACGCCTGTAATCCCAGCACTTTGGGAGGCCGAGGCGGGCGAATCACCTGAGGTCAGGAGTTCGAGACCTGCCTGGCCAACATGGTGAAATCCCGTCTCTAATAAAAATCCAAAAATTAGCCGGGTGTGGTGGCGGGCGCCTGTAGTCCCAGCTACTCGGGAGGCTGAGGTGGGAGGATCACCTGAGCCTGGGAGGCAGAGGTTGCAATGAGCAGAGATTGTGTCATTCCACTCCAGCCTGGGAGACAAGAGCGAGATACCGTCTCGAAAAAATATATATATATTTTATATATAATATTTATATGTATATTATATATATATGTATATTTTATATATATATATATATATATATATATAAAATTAGCTGGGCGTGGTGGCGGCTGCCTGTAGTCCCAGCTACTCAGGAGGCTGAGGTGGGAGGATCACCTGAGCCCGGGAGGTCGAGGCTGCAGTGAGCAGTGATGACGGCACTGCAAACATGATGATGAACAACTCGGGCACCAGACACTGTTCGCCACAACTAAGAAAGCCAAATAATACCTACTTTCTTATTCTCTTTCCTGTGTTCGAAAACATACATAACACGAAGTAATGCTTTAAAAAGGAATAGCAAGTACAAATATGTTAGACTATCTTTTCTAAGTAGTTTGCTTCAACTTTTTTTTGGAGGACATGAGGAGTGGAAGAGGAAACTAATGGGAGTCGGAAAGTGGGCTCTAGTTATTTTTACAAGCGTATTTATTTTGTAAGTCAACTAGATGGAGGCGAAGAAAGACGTTCCAGCGTTCGGGTTCACTTCACACACACCCCAGCACTTCTTTGGGGTTCACTTTAAACACACACACACCCCAACACTTCTCTCGGGTTCACTTTAAACACACACACACCCCAACACTTCTTTCGGGTCCACTTTAAACACACGCTCCCCAACACTTCTTTCGAAAAAACTCCAGGGCTGAGACCGACCCTTCCTGACAATGCAGCTCGTCCAGACACCCCTGCTACTCTGATCTGTGAAGAGCTCGCGCTAACGTTCCCGTCTTAGCAGGTCCATTCGGCACCCCAAATCCGAAAGGGCCTGCAGAAACCGGGGCGGGGCAAGGGTCTACCTCCGCCGTGGCAGAAACTGATTTTCCTCAGAAAGCCTAAAAAATCATCCATCAATCACTCCGGCCCCCTTCCCCGAGAGATGCCGCCGCCCGCCGCCTCTCCCCAGGCTCTGGGTCTGGCGCAGGCCCGGAGGGCTGGCGCCGTCGGCTTCTCCCCGTTACCCGGGTCCGGACCCGGCGCCTACGGGACGAGCTGCTGTAACTCCCCCGCATCCGCCTCCCCCGGCCGGGGCGGCTCCCGGCGCCGGGTCTCCGACGGGCAGAGACGCCCCCCGCCCCGCTCACCCGCCCGGGTGGTGTCCGTCAGGTCGTGGTTGGCCGCTCCCCGGGGAAACTCCCTCAGTTTCCGGCCGCTCAGGCTCAGCACCCCAGTGACCGCCGCCTCCTCCAGGGCTCGATCGAGAGAGCGGCTCCACGAGCCCGGGCCAAAACCAGGGCCTGCCCCGGAGCTTGGGCCGCAGTGAACACCAGGGAGGTTACCTCCCGACGCTACCGTGCCAGAGTACTCGGCAGCCGCTGCCACAGCGACCAAGCCCGCGGCCGCCATTTCCCAGCCGACAACACTCGGGCCCGCCAGCTCAGCGCATGCGCGGCCGGACCGCTGGGTGGGCGGAGAAAGGGGCTCACGGACCGACCCCGGACGGTTCCCGTGATGGGCAGCACCGTGGTGCCCCCCGGCGCAGCCAGGCGCTTGCCCCCGCCCACATGATGCGCTTTTCAAGGGAAGTTAAAACGGACCTCACAAATCCAGAGCAGCCCCCTACTCTAACCTCCCAGGGGCATTTCTAAAATGCCTCTACAAAAACATCTTTCAGGCAACGCTCCGCATCAAAACTTCTCCGCCTTGCTCCCTCAGTAGTGGAGGAGTCGACTAAGCATTAAATTAAGAATTTTTTTTTTTTGAGACAGAGTCTCGCTCTGTCGCCCAGGCTGGAGTGCAGTGGCGCGATCTCGGCTCACTGCAACCTCTGCTTCCTGGGTTCAAGCTATTCTCCTGCCTCAGGCTCCCGAGTAGCTGGGACTACAGGCACGCACCACCACACCCGGTTAATTTTTGTATTTTTAGTAGAGACGGGGTTTCACCATGTTGGCCAGGATGGTCTCGATCTCCTGACCTCAAGTGATCCGCCCGCCTCTGCCTCCCAAAGTGCTGGGATTACAGGCGTGACCTACCGCGCCCGGCAAGGAATCTTTCTTAACACTGCTGCTGCAGAAACTTGGATGGTGAGAGGAGCGGACCCTCTGAGATACGACCTAAACCGTTTCCCAACTTCATTGTATTACCAGATGATCTAAATCAAGGTTTGGTGGACTTACTATGGTTGCTGGAGAGAAAACAAACAAACAAACGTGCTAATTGGGCTCAAAATTCTCATTAAAAACGTATTATTTTATATCATCCATCCCTTTTATAAAATAGCTTTTCTTAATGAAAATACAACAAATATCTTCAATAGTACTTGTACTTTTGGCAAGATTTTATTGTTGGATAAAGCAAGATTATAGTAGTATTAAAATCTAAAATGTTGGTCTGGAACCAAAATTGAGGAACAGAAAATGATCTCACTGTAATCTAAATGTGGGAATTAAAGGTAGAACCGAAGAGATGCTCTAAATTGAAACCACTCAAGAAATGAAAGAGTGGAAAATACTTCATTTAAAACCAATTAGACCTCACTTATATTGCAGCCAGTCTCTAGCATATTCTTCAGTCTGTTTTACTGAAGAAGCCATTTCTGCTATATGATGTAAATTTTACCAACAATTAATCAACTAGTTTTACTATGGGAAATAGAAGAGGCTGTCAGGTACAATCCTTTCCTAGAGGATCACAATCTAATTATGGAACCCAGACAGGCCCACAAAAAAGGGCTAAGAGTGATGGGGCTTACTTATGAGTCCAGAGAAAAGAAAGCTATATCATGGATAAATTCGGTTTTGAATTAAACCTGAAGGATTATAAAGTAGGACAAACTGGAAGGTGAGACTAGAAGATGGATCAGCATGAACACATCCAGATACGACTTAAAGTGGTAACATGTGGAGGATACGAAGGCCACAGATCAGAAAGTTCGTGTCAGAGAGCAAAAGAAAAATAAGGATGGAGAGATCCTCTCATTCAAGCCCCAACTCTTCAATGACACCTCAATTGGCATGAATTGCTAAATGCTAGAAGGTATAAAAATGTTTAATCCCAGTGCCAAAGTTGATTAGTAACAGCTGCCCAGAGAGCTGTTCTATAAACTCTCAATACATTCTAGTTACTTCAGCAACAAGTTCCATGATACATAACCATACATATGTTATGAGCTCATACATGTTATGAGCGTGGGTCACAATGGCAGGTGACGTATTTGTCATCCCCAGCAAATAACATTTATCCAATGCATATATAGCTTTTTGTTATCCTGGGCTTCCTAAAACTGTTATTCTTCGAAAGATATTAAGCTATTTAAGGGCAGTTTTTTTACTTTTTAGGGAGATTTCAACTACAATGACTGATTATCTATTCATATACTCCACACTAATGCTACAATGCTGTAGAATTAGTTGCCAGATGTACCTTTTCAAATGCACCATTGTCATCTGATTGCTTATTACCTTCCACATCTACACTAAATTCTGTCAAGTTCTCTGTAATAGGCCTCATTCCTATCTATATGTATGAATACATCCCATTGTAATAGCAACATACTATGCTAGCCCTGAACTGACCAAGCTTATAGATTGATGCTTGAATATTCAACAAGATTTTAAGGTCCTTAATATATTAAACTCTATGCTATCATAGGACTGAGTATATTTTTAGGAGTTAAAAAATTAGTCAACCCTTGCTTGTGCCTGTAATCCCAGCTACTTGGGAGGGTAAGGTGGGAGGATTGCTTGAGGCCAGGAGTTCGAGACCAGCCTGAGCAACATAGTGAGGGCACCCCACCTCCCACCCTCTGGTCTCTAAAATTTTTTAAAATAATTAGCTAGGTGTGGTGGTGCCTGACTGTAGTCCCAGCTACTTGGGATGGTGAGGTAGGTTTGCTTGATGCCAGGAGTTGAGGCTGCAGCAAGCTATGATTGTGCCACTGCACTCTAGCCTAGGAGAGAATGACATCCCATCTCTAAAAATGAAAAATAATTTTAAAAAATAATAAAAATGAGTGGAAAGCAGTAGAAACCAAAATAGATTATGTACACACACGAGAGGTTATGAGGAAAGGAAAAAGAATTACAATTTTTGGGCTGGGTGTGGTGGCTCACACCTGTAATCCTAGCACTTTGGGAGTCCGAGGTGGGCGGATCACCTGAGGTCGGGAGTTCGAGACCACCCTGACCAACATGGAGAAACCCCCTCTCTACTAAAAATACAAAATTAGCCGGGTGTGGTGGTGCACGCCTGTAATCCCAGCTACTCAGGAGGCTGAGGCAGGAGAATCACTTGAACCCAGGAGGCGGAGGTTGCAGTGAGGCGAGATCATGCCATTGCACTCCAGCCTGGGCAACAAGAGGGAAACTCCATCTAGGGAAAAAAAAAGAAAGAATTACAATTTTTAAGGAAAACAGGGTTCCCAAGTCAGTAGATCCCTGCTTTATTAAAAATATAAAAGTTAGCCAGGCATGGTGGCAGGCACCTGTAATCCCAGCTACTCGGGAGTCTGAGGCACAACAATTGCTTGAACCCGGGAGGCGGAGGCTGCAGTGAGCCAAGATCGCACCACTGCACTCCAGCCTGGGCGACAGAACAAGACTCTGTCTCAAAAAATAAAAAGAAAAAAGAAATGTAGATATTTAAAAAGCCAAAAGAAAGACCTGTGCATATGGGGGAAACTGAAGATGCTATATATACTATTACATGAGAACAAGTCCTAGGTAAAGGAAGGATGGAAGGAAAGATAGATTGAGCAGTTAACGCTGTGACTTCTAAGGAGTTGAGGCTTCAGCTACAAAGTAAAGGTAGACTATGAGGGAATTCTTACCCTACTCTCTCAGTCATCTCCATAAAGTAGGTGACAGCGTCTTATGAGAAAGAGATATAGGAAATGGAGTCTTTGTGGGGAGTTCACCAAAGAGTCTAATGATGAATAAAAGAAATGATGAAAGATAGTTGTACAAAGGCCAGGAGCAAAGTGGCTTACAGGGATCTGTAACTTCTTCCACCACTGGTCTGTGGTCTGGGAGCAGAAGCTGAAAAAACAGGCAGCGCAGGTTATTCAGTGTTAGCAATTGATACAGTGTACTTCCCAGTTCTTCCTGTTTATTTTACAGACTGAAAGTTAACTCATTCAACACAGGGGGCAAAAGTTTCACTCAAATCTTAATAGTTCTTTCCAGCTCTGCATTTCACTATATCATGCAAAGGTTATGTCCTCCCTTCCCCCTTCTACTCAGTAGAAACATATCATGGTCACTCCTTCTAAGACTCCACTTCTAGGCCGGGCTCCGTAGCTCATGCCTGTAATCCCAGCACTTTGGGAGTCAGAGGCGGGCATATCACCTGAGGTCAGGAGTTTGAGACTAGACTGGCCAATATGGTGAAACCTCGTCTTAGTACAAAAATTAGCTGGGTGTAGTGGCACGTGCCTGTAATCCCAGATACTTGGAAGGTTGAGACAGGAAAATCGCTTGAACCCGGGAGGCAGAGGCTGCAGTGAGCCAAGATCACTACTGCACTCCAGCCTGGGCAACAGAGCAAGACTGTCTCCAAAAAAAAAAAAAAAAAAAAGAATCCACTTTTAGGGCGGGCGTGGTGGCTCACACCTGTAATCCCAGCACTTTGGGAAGCTGAGGCAGGCAGATCTCCTGAGGGTAGGAGTTCGAGACCAGCCTGGCCAACATGGTGAAAACTCATTTCTACTAAAAACACAAAAATTAGTTGGCTGTGGTGGCTCAAGCTTGTAATCCCACCTACTTACGAGGCTGAGGGACAAGAATTGCTTGAACCCGGAAAGGATCCTGGGAGGCAGAGGCTGCAGTGAGCCGAGATTGTGCCACTGCACTGCAGCCTGGGTGACAGAGTATTCCGTCTCAAAAAATAAAAAAACTCCGCTTTTATAAACTCCAAGCAGTATGAATCCCATTCTCTTCCTTGCTGAATACATTTAATTCTAAATATTTGCTGAATATATTTAATAAATGTTTGATCCTTCCATTGCTTACTCCTTTAAAAACAAGTCCTAATAATTAACTTTTTTAAACTTTATACAGGAAAATTCAGACAATATGATTCTTTTCTCATTAAAGGGAAATGGAGTAAGTAGAAATTAAATATGCACACTAGGAGAATAACTTCCAACTAATCTTTAAACACTGGTATACCTCATCTGAATACACTCATAAGACGACATTTCAGTCCCAGAATGGCATCACATTTGCTTGTGTTATCAAGCTTCCTGTTAAACATAGGTAGAAAATAAGCTGTAGGCTGGGTGCGGTGGCTCACACCTGTAATCCCAGCACTTTGGGAGGCCGAGGCAGGCAGATCACCTGAAGTCAGGAGTTTGAGACCAGCCTGACCAACATGGAGAAACCCCGTCTCTACTAAAAATGCAAAATTAACTGGGCATGGTGGTGGGCACCTGTAATCCCAGCCACTTGGGAGGCTGAGGCAGGAGAATTGCTTGAACCCGGGAGGCGGAGGTTGGGGTGAGCCGAGATCGCACCATTGCACTCCAACCTGGGCAACAAGAGTGAAACTCCATCTCAAAAAAAGAAAAAAAAGAAAAAAAAAAAAAGAAAAAGAAAAAAGAAAATAAACTGTGGTGAGAAGGGAAATAAAAGATATTAGAAGTCTACAATTTCTAAGTAAATCTTTAAATCCCTATTAATGGTCCACCATAGTCCACAATTCTTGTTGTAAATGCTGTGTTTACTGAAGTATCATTTAAAAAAAAAAAAAAGAAGCTAGTTCCAAATTGATCTATCCAAAAAGAACCCTCTCTAAAGGGAAGTTTTACATGCTTAACTGCTTTTTCACAGTGGCAAAATAATAATAATAATAATAATTCTGATGAAAACTGAAAGCACTACTGATCAGAAATGAATTATTTTCTGCTTTAATATTGCCAATATGGTATTCATTTTCTGTGCTGCCAAGTGAGCTATTTTTTCTCTTATCTCCTTATAGTAAAAATAAATCAACAAAAATTATTCTGGGCCCGTATACTTTGTGTGAATTACAAAGCTATTTACAGTAAAATATTAATAATGATATACATACCTAGTCTAATAAAAACTCACTGCTGAGCAATGAGGCCTGCTGGGCCCGTATACTTTGTGTGAATTACAAAGCTATTTACAGTAAAATATTAATAATGATATACATACCTAGTCTAATAAAAACTCACTGCTGAGCAATGAGGCCTGTTTCCTCAGACACAGTATTTTACGATTGGCTTAAACAGTTGGCCCTTCAACAACATGGCTTTGAATTACCTGGGTCTACTTATAAGCAAATTGTTTTGAACCAAAAAAACATCTTGGAATGGAAAATCCATGTACACAGTGGGCCAACTTTTCGTTTACACAGATGTGGGACTTCAGTATTGCGCAGGGTTGGGTATATACAAGGGTCCTGGAACCAATCCTCCGTGTATACTGAGGGATGACTGTAATTAAAATTGTGGTGAAGAGTTTATGCCTGTTTTTAAAAAATGCATATCTGATTAGGAACACTGGACTTTTCTAACAGGTCTACCTAACCCAAATAGCAAAGTAATAAAGTATAACCATCACTGGTAGAATAGATTTACTTACCATGCTAAAAATGCTAAAGCATGGCTATTACCAATTCTTAGGTATTTGAAAACCACACACCATTCCACTATTTTCTGTGGGTGTTAATTCACCAAAGCAGTTTATTATCAATTAAGAATTAGAAGATCTGAGCTCAAAAAATAACTCTGCCACATGCAAGTCTTGAAAACACTAGGACTCACTTTACTAAGGTGTAAAAAGGAGGGGTTAAACTGGATTAGTCTCTAAAGGCTCATCTAACCCAATATTCTGCATTGCAAAGTATACTGGATTCTTTTTTTTTGTTTTTTTAAGACAGAGTGTCACTCTGTCACCCAGGCTGGAGTGCAATGGCGTGGTCTCGGCTCACTGCAATCTCTGCTTCCTGGATTCAAGCAATTCTCCCGCCTCAGCCTCCCAAGTAGCTGGGACCACAGGCACATGTCACCACACCAGCTAATGTCTGTATTTTTAGTAAAGATAGAGTCTCCCTATGTTAGCCAGGCTGGTCTTGCTCCTGGCCTCATGATCCGCCCGCCTTGGCCTCCCCAAGTTCTGGGATTACAGGCATGAGCCACCGTGCCCAGCCTGGATTCTTCTTTTTAGATTCATTTGTTGGAGCTACAAATGAAATCATCAAAAGAGAGAGGGATGCTAATAGAAGAGTCTACAGTGATTTACCAATTTTGCTAGTAGATAAGGTTTCACACCCTAAAAACTACAAATATAGATAACCACTACAAAGTTCTTCGTAACATAGAACAATCTAAAAACCACAACTCAATCTTTAGAGCTGAGAATAAATCATGTGAAACCTGTAACATTTTATTTGTTAAAAATGAACAGCTTCAGAATAGATCTAAATGTAACTTTTCCAAAAAACACCAAAAAGTACAGTGTAAAGCACCTCCTCGTTAAATACAAACTTTCATTTGGTGATGCACGGCACCAATGTTTTGCATATACCTTGATGCAAAGAAAAGTTTAAGTTGCATCCTGTTTTTAAAAAAAACCGAAACTTAAGAACTGAACAAGGATTACAACCACATTCCAATAAAGAAAATTTTCCTTCAACAAAGCATATTGTTTTGTTTATATACAATATGTGACCACCAAGAGTTTTAATTTAGTTGTACCAAAGGCAAAACATTATACTTAAAATTAAATTACAGATGCATGAAGAATAAAAGTTTAATGTATCAAAGATAATTTGTTATTTAATGCACTCAATGTCAGTATTTGGGGCAATTTTTAAAGTTTTCCCAAAAAATGGCATGAATAGCTCTATACAATAATAGGTAAGAACAGGAAAATGAAAACACCTTTATACCATATTTTCACAAACCATTCTAAAGACAGCAAACTTGAGCTCAGCTGCTTTTCCTTGCTTTAAAATAAGCTACCAGTAATTCTAAATCAGACTAAAATGTACTGTTCCTAGACCAAATACAGGCATTCATCCTTGCAAAAATGTTTTGCAATGAGTTCTTGGCCTATATGAAAAGCATCAAATAGCTAAGGAGAGACTAGAATTTATTTCCAAATTCTGTGACTGACTTCCAATAATCCCTTATCAGTACGAGTACCAGGAAAATATCAGATATTAAAGATCAGATTTAATTCTTTGGTATAAGCATGAAACTGTTACTGATAGCTTTCCATGGCGAGCATAAACCATGAAGCAACTCAAGAAGCATGAGAGACAACAATGAAATCTAGTATACAATGCAGGGCAGGCCAAGAACGATGTCTGCTTTACAGGAAAAGTCAACACTAACAATCTACTCCTGAGAAACTAACACCTATTTAGATGTTTTTAACATAATGGCAAACTAAAATGTCAAGCTTCAAAATGACCAAACTTGTAACGTACAGCTGGAAGATTTTGCTGCATTTGGCATTATACTGTAATTTACAGTATACAACATCTGGGGACTCAGTACTATCTTAGCACAGACTAACTTCTCCCACTCCGTCAGAGGTGGCAGGTGGCGGGTCGGTGGGGAGGGCCTTTTCTCCCCATAAATGCCTGAACTTTAATTTATACCATATAAGAAATCAGTGAAAGGTAAACAACAAGGTTAATGTAACTCTATTATAAATTTTGCATTTTTTTTCTCTGTGACATATACAAGTATATTTTTGTTTTTGGAGCTATAAATTATTTAATTTAGCAATCTTCAAAGCTCATAAATTTCAACTTTTCAAATAAGAAATTTTAACTTCAAATAAGAAGTCTAGGACTTTATGGCTATTAATTTTACTATCAAAATATCCAAGGGACTCCATTCAATGTAATAGTTATAATTCTTCTAAATATCATTTGAATAATTCTTTGTGGACGCTAGACTCAAGACTATGCTACATCCAAACAGTACATCTATAACCAGGGTTTTGAAGTGTTTCATCTCAACTACCTGTCCTTCAACTTGCTACTTACTTCCTCTCATGCCTTCATTTATTAAACACAAACTGTCATTTTTTAAAACTGGACCTTCTCCTCCAAGGCCCTATCAGATAACTTTGTGAATATGCATTTACA